>NC_000002.12:155065375-155368405 GCF_000001405.40 Homo sapiens | reverse complement strand
TCTTACAAACCTCTTTTCTCCTTGGATTATTTTTTACTGATCCAATGTATTTATAGCTTATATTTCCTATGGAAAAAAATTATTATAAAGTAATCTCCAAAATGTGTACAAATTTTCATAGAAAATATGTTTTTCTTGAACAGAAATCTATGAAACAATGATTTTAATTTGACTTGAATGCACAGATATCAGAGACTAGAGAAACAGGTTTAAAGATTTGAAAGTACCTTCAAAATTATATTTTAATATGTCAGGAGAAATAATCCTGCATATTACCATCACGTTGATAATGTAGCATATTAATATATGTACTACCTTATCCATATACTACCATTACATTTACATTGCCCTGGAATATAACCATTTAGGCACAATTGCTATCTCTCCATTAAAGGAAGTAAGAAACTCATCTATTGTACAATTCTAAACTGTGAATCTTTTTTCAAGTTAAAACAAAGTCAAAGATGGAGCCCTACAGAAATAGGAGAGAGAAATTTTGATAAGAAAAGAAAGATGGGGGAGAAATGGTGTGATTATTGCTCACAGTAGGGAGAAAAAAGAATTGAGTTAAGGGGAGTGTAAGAATGTCATAGATTGGTAAAGTTGAAATAAGAAACCATTTATTCAATTTTTCCCAATTCTGTACCTGGAAAAGACTTGGATCTATTCTAGCATTGTTAGTCATATATGTGGGTCAAACATCATTTACATTCCTTTTTGTTAGGCCATTGAAAAGGAATGATAGATTGAGGCTCATGGTTGTTTTTCCTATATTTTCTATTTACTTCAAAAATCCATATATTGCCAACTCGAATGTACTGAAATTGACTTAATATAGCTATGAGGTTAATATTTCCCACACATAAGGGAGAACAAGTTATAGTTAATGGGAATTAACTAGTGGTTGACATGGAATGTGAATCTAGTTGTCTTGATTTCAAAAGTCAAGGTCCTTCAGTATCAAAATCATGTGTCTGTCTTCACTGACAGAAATCTCTAGAATGTCTCTATTATTCACTGTAGCATGGTTACATCTACAGGGGCATATAAATACATTATATATTCATTATGTATTTATTATATATATTCATTACATATATATATTCACAAATCTCACCATTTAGAGAGAAATCTTATTTTATAAGCCTTAATTATATCTCTCATGATTATTGTATTTTCTGAGAACTCTAAGAAACTGCTGTTGAAGTAGGTTAGTAGGGGATGGGCATGACTGAAAAATACTATGTAGTTTTCTTCGTGCAACTACTTATTTAAATGTAAATTTTAAGTTAGTCGTTAAGAAGAACAGAAAGAGTTCCTTAGAGGCTAGCGGAGATAAAGAAAGAAGTGAGGTGGTTGGGCAAGGGAGAACTTCAGTGAAAGAAATGCAATATTTGAAACTTGTTTAATGTAGATATATGAAAGGTAATATAAATACTTCTTCATTTCTTCAGTAAAACATACTTTTTCTTGATATTACATTAGAGAGTTTAATCTGTTTGAGCATGAGACACAGTCCAGAGTTTTTCATCTTTAGCAGAAACCGAGATTGGTCAAGGAGAAAATATTATGCTTGAGATATTATGGCCACTAAGCCATCAATCTAGCTACCCATCCCTTAAATTATTTTTGGAATAAGATAAAAGATAAAGAAATGTTTTATATTTGTATATATGTAGAGTCAATGAGAGGCAAACACTAGATAATTTTTTTTAGAAAGACTAGAACTGTGCATTCTTCCTCCCAATTGAATATTATGTGTAAAAATACGAGTAAAAATATTGTGAAAAAATTACTAAAGAATTATAATTGTGAATAAGTTAACATTTATATATCTGTATATGAATATATCAAGTTTTCTGCAATATTTTGTATTTTTCACTGTCTCTACTTATATCACTTCTAAAATTAGACTTTCTATCTCATGTAAGTCACAGAAGTTGGAAATTTGTACTTTAGGAAATACAATATTTTCAATTTAGATTATATCAATTAGTAGAAAAACATATTCATTGCAGATGACACAATTCACATGAAAATACCACACAACATTTTTGAATGACAGAAAATTTGTAAAAAAATGTGAATGCAGTGTTTGAATTATTTTTGGCATTAATTCTACAAGTTATTTTTATTACACTATTAAAATATTTGACATGTTAACACTTTAAGTGTCTCAAATGTGCATTTAATTCAGATTTAGTAACACAAGTTTTGCTTATGAAAACTAAGTCAATTATTGAAAGCATTTCCTAAGGTTTAGCAATTATTTGAGAGCTGCATTTACTCTAAAGTAATTAGCTCAAATGGCATGTTCATGAAAGCAGATTTAGAACAACTTTACATATTGGTATGACAGGGAAATGTTTAGTACCAATATAGCTAAAAATATTTAAATTTATTTGATCTGGCAAGCATTTTATTTTAAACAAAGGAACAAGTAGACATTTTAAAGTATATTTGTCACATTTTCAAGATACAAAATTGCCATATTTATGGCTAGAATCTTGTATAAAATAAAAATGTCAAAATTAATTGAAACAATGTAAAATTTTAGGGAGTTCTTACTTTGTTTTTATGTTATCAACTTTCTTATTTGAATATGATATAAGCAAAAGAGTATAGTTTATGAGGCTGTATATGTTACATAGTAAGATAGAACAAAACAAAAATCCAGATACTCATGACTCAGCTTACAAAAATAGAGCACTACAAATAAAGTTGAATTCCCTGCTCTGTATTAACTGATCACATTGCTTACTCTTACTTAATGAAGTAACCACTGCTCTGAATTTGGTTTTACTCATTCCCTTGTTTTGCTCTATAGTTTTACAACATACATACGCACACACCACACACATTTAATATTGCATTACTTGGTTTTACTGTGTGTGTGTGGTGTACACACATATAAAAAATTGAACTTTATTCTTCCATGATAAATCTATTTATTGTATTTTATTTCATTTTTGTTTTTGAGGTATTTAAATGCTAATGCTTGAAGCAGGAATTAATTTATTTTTATGATGTTACAATAAATATTATTCTGTATGCGTATTTATGTATTTATTTATTGCTTCTTCAGTTAACGAATTTTGTTTAACTCTTTTTTTTTCTCTGCCATTATGAGCAAAGCTGTTATTAGCTTTTTTTTTTTTTTTTTTTTTTTTTTTTGAGACAGAGTCTTACTTTGTTGCCCAGGCTGGAGTGCAGTGGTGCGATCCTGGCTCACTGCAATCTCCGCCTTCTAGGTTCAAAGAACTCTCATGCCTCAGCCTCCCAAGTAGCTGGTGGTACAGGCATGTCGCACCACACCCAGCTAATTTTTCTTGTATTTTTAGTAGAGAGAGGGTTTCTCTGTGTTGGCCAGGCTGGTTTCAAACCACTGGCCTCAAGTGACCCACCCACCTTGCCTCCCAAAGTGCTGGGATTACAGGTATGAGCCACCATGCCTGGCCAGCATTCTTGTACACATTTTCTGTCACACATATGTAAGAGGCTCAGTCATAGTGTTAGAGTAGGTAGCTAGGCAGACATGAGCAGGACCGGAAAGTCCCCTCCAAGAAATGTCAGGCAACCATCAGATGATGGTCAGGCAGTTATTAGTTTGTCTTTCTAAAATAATAATTGCTCATAACTGGTGCCAGGGAAAGGTAGTCCTCTAATACATAGAAAACACCTTCAGCTAGTGATCAGCAGCTTTCCAATAAGATCTCAGGAGTTGAAAAAGTGGGCTTAAGCATGCACACTAGGAGGCAAAATGACAGAGTTTAACAAGTATATGACCTTCCTCTGGTAATACTCCACGGCTAAGGGAAACAGCTTTAAATGAGCATGCACACAACTTCACAACTTCAGTAAGCACACTGTGCATGTGGCCCCTCCCAAGTGAGGGTGAGGTTGCTGCAGACCCCATATGGATATGAATACGTTCTGCCAGTAACACTCTCACTTGTACCTTAGGACTCAAAGTTGATAACTGAGCTGCCACTGTCATTGCTACTACCACTCTAGGAAACGTAGAGAGTGATCGTGCTGCTGACTCTACCTGGTCTATCTCAACACCAATACAATCAGAACAATGCAGTTTCTTCTACCACTCTGTTCTAGCCACACTCCAGCTTTTCCTGTCTCACAGCCTTGAAAACCTCAAAGACCAGCATATATCCTCCTCTCTGTCAGGTAAGTCTCATTACTCTCCCCAGGATTAGCTAGTTCACAGGATGTTTGAATATGGAATCGTTGATTCTCTAGCAAGTAAAGAGAATACCTGCCCCATCCATTCAAGAATTGAGTTTGCTGCAGACCCGTCGGATTTGCCGCTGCTACCATGCTTTGGCGTCTTGACTTTTTCTGCCCGAGGCATTCAACCTCCCAAGTATGTTAGCTGTGGTGAATCTGATTCGTCTGCAGCAAACTCAATTCTTGCCTTCTCAGAAGAAACAATTCGGCTGAGGGACATAAGGCAGAGTGAGAAATTGAAGCACGTTTTAGAGTAGGAGTAAGAGTTTATTAAATAGCTTTAGAGCAGGAATGAAAGAAAGTAAAGTACACTCGGAAGAGGGCCAAGTAGGCAACTTGAGAGAACCTTGACCCTCGACTTGGGGTTTTATATGTTGTCATGATTCCAGGGTTTGCATTTCTCCTCCCCTGATTCTTCCCTTGGGGTGGGCTGTCCACATGCGCAGTGGCCTGCTAGCACTTGGGAGGGGCCACATGTTCAGTGTGTTTTCTGAAGTTGTGCATATGTTCATTTAATGAGGTTTTTCTCTTACCGGTCAAGTGTTCCCAGAAGAAGGTCACGTATCAGTTAAACTCCGCCATTTTGCCTCTAAATGCGCATGCTTGAACTCACTTGCCCAATTCCTGAGATCTTATCAGGAACTGTCAATCACCAGCTTCTGTTGTTTCTATCTGTTGGGAGACTGCCTTTCCTTGGCACCTGCTACAAGCAGCTATTATTTTAGAGACACAGACTAACAACCCTCTGATCGTCACCTGATGGTACCCTGACATTCCTTGTTGGGTTTGGGGCCTTTCCTGCCCTGGTCATGTTTGCTTAGCTGGCTGCTTTAACAATACAATATACTATATTTAACTTCAGTAGTTTTTCAAACTACTGTTTGTAAATTTTTTTTTGTCTTCTAGAGTGATTGTTCTACCACAGGTTTATATGAATTTGAATTTTTCTTATTTTATATTGCCATCATATCTGGTAATATGAGACTCTATTTCTTTCTTCAATTTTTTTGAGAGTAAAATTATACTTCACTGTGGTTTTCATGTTTATTTTAATGAAATAAAGCTCAATAGTTTCCTATCTTTTAAAAGCCACTATGCATTTCCTTTTCTTAGAGATTCTTGTTTTTGTGCTTTCCCATTTTAAGTATTGTGTAGTTTTTTTTTTTAACTTACTAATTTTAGGGTCTCTTTATATATACTTGATAGCACCCTTTTATAGTTTTTAGATGTAGCACATATCTTTTCCCGGAGTATAATATCTCTAAGAATATTGTTTACTTTTGATTTAGTCAGATAAGGTATTCTATAAAATAGTGATATTTTAGAAAGCTAAACATTTAAAACACCTAAAAAGTAGTTCATTAATCTAAATATTCCAAATGAATTTGAAAAGAATTATTTTTACACTCGTTGGAAGCAATACTGTATACACATTCCTTAGATCAAATATAATTTCTTATTGTCATACCTTCAATATCATTACACTGTGGTTTTGTTTTTGTTTTGTGTTATTTATCAACCACTGAGAGGTATATATTTAAAGAAAACTCCTAAATCAGGTGGGTTTGCCAATTTTATTTTGTAGTTTTATTAGTTAATATATATTTATATATTTTATGATGTTCATACATTTAATTTGTAACATTATTTTAGTATCAAAATAGTACCTGAAGCTCCACATTTTCTAGAACTAGCCAAACAAGTGATTCTAAAATTTATATTTAAAAACAAAAGACAAGTACAAGCAGTAAAACTTTGAAGAAAATTCAATGATAGCAAGCTAGTAATCCACCCAGCAATGGTAAACATAGGATTAAGCATCCATAAGCAAAACAGCACAGCACCCTTTCACTATTAATTGACTGAATTGAAGCAAAGTTTTCTAAAGTATAGAAATAGAGCCAAATAAGCCTGGACATTTAAGACGTGACAAAAATACCATATCCAATCTATGGGGGAAAGGTCAACTTTATAATAAATAATATTTGAGCTAAATTTTGCCTATCAGAAAAAGATTATAATCATAAAAGTCTCACGTAATATACCATAATTTATGAATCAACTCAATTTTTAAATGTGAAAAGGAAACAGAACAACCGGAAAGAAACCTGAGTTAATTTTTTTATATACCCTTGTCATTGAGCAGGACTTGCCATTGTGTCACAAACAACAAAAGCCACAAAAGAAAAGCTGGGTAGATTAAATTATATAAAAAATAAAGAATACATGCATTAAAAAAATTCCTTAGTAAAGTCAGAAGGCAAATTACCAATGGGAAGTGTGTGTATGTGCTTGTGTGGATGCATGTGCACATGTGTGCATGTATACCATTTATACTACAGATTTATACCATTGAAATAGGGCAAATCTATGTACTCAACAATCAAAAGAAGACAGGTAAAGAAATTGTAGGTAAACTGTCTCTCTCTTCTCACTGGGTGTTTTGAAGTTTTTTTTTGTTTTTTTTTTCTCTACCATTTCACAAAAGATGTCCATGATTGCTTTTATGTATTGATTTTTATACATCTATAATTTTACATTTTCTTTTGCTTCATGAATATTCCTATTTTTTCTGTTTCCCCTATTATCTATTTCTAGGCTTGTTATTAGAAATATATTAAAGTCACACATCCAAAATCTTTGATATTCTCAATCAGTTTGATGGTAATTTATTCAGATGTAATTATTGTTGATATAATTTAGTCAAATCTAACTAGGAGCTTATCAATTATTTCCCATCTCTGCCTTATCCCGTTCAACTTATATACTTTTCTTCTTTTGTGTTTTAATTTCTAGAAGTTCTATTTTTTGAATTATTCCTGTTTGTTTTCATAGGCTTCTCTTTTTTATGATTTCAATAATATATGCTTGTTAGTTTCTTAAATTCTTGTAGCTTTATTTTTATATGGTATTTATGGGACTGACACAAACATCTATATACACACATATTTATAATATATATCATCCTATAAATATTTGCTAACTCCAGCTTATTGTGTTGTATTTGAACTTATTTTTACTCTGCATATATGTTCCTCATAATTTATGGCCTTGACAAATTAACTGAATGAAGACATACCTACCCACAATATGCAACTATAAAACTTGACTAGCTATATAAAATAATTGCTTTCAGACATTAGACAACCGATAGTATAGGACTGTAATCTCTGAGAAAAGAAAATAAGCTAGATAACATCTATGTTCACCTGAATTTTCTGCCTAGAGACTATTTTCAATGACAGTACTGGAGAAGAAACCTTAAATGACAAAAAATCTTACTGAGTTGAGGAGATGGAGACCAGACGTTAGAGTAACTGAGACAGATGGAATTTATGGGACAGAATACCAGGAATGAGGCAACTACCTAAAGAAAGAGCTCCAGATATCTGCATTTGCGTCACTTTGAGTCTTTGCTGAATGATAAAAAGACGTCTTCATGGAGCGAAGTTCCCACAGGCCTGGCAAAGAACATGTACTCAGAGATACAAGCTAAACAATTTTCAGAGCTTATAGAGAAATAGCAGATGTAAGAATTCCTATCAACCAGAATGGAGAGACCTCACAGAAAAGCTTTGGCATGAATAGTAGGGCTAAACAATCACATGAATAAATATTTCACTAGACTAGCCCTAGAAAAACAAAAATAACTTTCAAAAGTTTCAAGCTTACTTTGGGAGGCCGAGGCGGGCGGATCACGAGGTCAGGAGATGGAGACCATCCTGGCTAACACGGTGAAACCCCATCTCTACTAAAAATACAAAAAATTAGCTGGGCGTGGTGGCGGGCGCCTGTAGTCCCAGCTACTCCGGGGCTGAGGCAGGAGAATGGCGTGAACCCAGGAGGCGGAGCTTGCAGTGAGCCGAGATCGCGCCACTGCACTCCAGCCTGAGTGAAAGAGCGAGACTCCGTCTCAAAAAAAAAAAAAAAGTTTCAAGCTGATTTGGAAATAAATCAACTCTCTGCCAAAACATGTTTAAAAGAACTTGCTTTTAAAGTTACTTTTCAATACTCTTTAAAAGAAGACAATAAAATCCAGACACATGAGAATATAATAATCAAAATTGCCCTACCATACAATAAGAATTACTAGAAATGGAATAAAGCACAAACAGGTAACTAATCACTAGGAGAGAAACAAGTCAATAGAAGGAGATTCTGAAATAATAATGGTTAAGAGCATTATCAAAAAAATACTTTACAACAATTCTTTTCACAAATTTAAAGAAAAATATGAACATTACGAGAAATATGGAAACTATAGAAAAGAAACAAATGTAAAATGTTGAGCTAAGAAATTAATATTGAAAGAAAATATTTCAATCGATGTAATTAATAGCAATTTAGATATTGCATAAAGATAAGTAAGTTTAAAGATAGCAAAAATGGTAAAAACAACAACAAAAAAAACCCAACACTAAAAAATCTGTATAAACTGACGAAGTAAAAAATTTACTCAATAGATTGAGCCCCATAAGGGGGTGACACAAAATTATTGACAAAATCACGGCCAAATATTTTTTCAATTCAATGAAAACCATAAGCTCAGAGGTTCAAGAAATGTGACAAACTTAAAGCAAGATAAGCATATAGAAAAAAATTAAAAATGCCAAGACTCACTATAATCAACTTGTTGAAAATCATAAAAGCAGACAGAAAAAGTGCCACATTCCCTACAATGAGAAAATAAAAAATAACCATGGACATTTTTTACACCAGAAAACAATGCAAGCCAGAAGAAAATTGTCATCTTTAAAGGTTTAAATTTAAAAAGTCAAATGTAATCTTACAAATATATGCCTCAAAAATTAGGTAATGAAAGGAAAACATTCTTTGAAGTTGATAGAGTAGTAAGAACCCATAATCTGTCTCCCCATTTAGACAACAACTGAACAAGCAAAATCTACCTGGCATAACTATTCATGAAACTCTGGAGTATACTGGAGTATACTGAAGGCTTGCATTTCTTCCCAGGTAAGGCTTTGAAAGTAAGTTGTAGTTAATTTCAACTCCTAGCATATTGGCAGCAACCCATTTCTCACCCCAGGCCTGTGAATGTGTTCCTAGAGAAACCTATACACAACCTGTGGGAGTTATAGTGGGCAAAAAGGACCTTCTCCTCCAAACCTCAGAGATCTATGCTTTGCTGATTGCTGCTTCTGATCACATACATGCAGGCAAAGAAGCAGGTGGCCATTGTTGCACCTCTCCACATTGTTGCATGCCAGGCCCCTTTTAGGAAATTTAAGGGGCTGATACTTACCTCCTGTCTTTTACCTTTTTCCTTTTCCTCTTTTGGGAGCCAGACAATAAAGACTAAGAGATTCAAAAACAAGTGTGCATACAGGGAAAATCAGAAAGTGATTGTGCCTGTCTAGAGAAAAGTGCAGGTTCCAAAAAGAGACGATGACACTCAAGTTATACCTCAGTATAATCCTTAGTACAAGGTCTAAAACAATTTTAAAACAAACAAAAACAAAAAATGAAAGCAGTAACAACAACAATAAAAACAGCAAACCTTGGGGACAAGGGAGAATCTAATTTTAAGAGTTAAAATATTGTTAGATTCAAATATTCGGTTTTCAACAAAACCAATGAAAACAACAAATCACAGGGTATATAAAGAAACAGAAAAATATGACCTATTCAAAGGAAAAAAATAAACAGAACCTGTCCTGGAAAAAAAAATGTGATGGCAGATTTACTAGACAAAAACTTTAAAATTACTGTCTTAAATATAACCAAGGGACTATAAGAAAATGTTGAGAAAATTTAAAGTATGAAAAAAATATGATATAAATAAATAGAAAATCTAAGCAAGAAACAAAACAAAGTTCTGGAGCTGAAAACTACAGTAACTGAGTTGAAAATTTACTAGAAGATTCAAAGGTAGATGTAAGCAGGCAAAAAAAAATCAGCAAATTTGAAGATTGGACAATGAGAATTATTGGGTCTGAGGAACAGAAAGCATAAAGATTGAAGAGAAATGAATAGAGTCTTCGTAATTCTATGTTTTGTTTTCCACACAACCTAAGAGATTAATATATATTTTTTAGCACATAATGTATAAAGATGTAATTTTGTGACATCATCAACAAAAAGGGATGGAGATTAAGTTGCTAAAAGAGAAGAGTTTTTTTGTGTTATTGAAGTTATGCTGGTAAACTCTCCAATCAAAAGACAGAGATTGGCAGGATTGACTTTTTAAAAACCAACATAACCAAACCATACGCTGTCTGCAAGAGACTAACTTTAAATCCAAACAAACACGTAGATTGAAAGTAAAAGAATTTTAAAAAAGATCTTTCCGTAAATAATAACCCTAAAAGAGCAAAAGAAGCTCCCACACCATAACACAAACTACACTAATATCCAAAAAAATTAGGATTTGGAGGAGGATTAAAGATGGCTGACTAGTGGTAACTGTGATGTGCCTCTTCCATGGAGAGGAACCAAAATATCAAGTAAATCTAAACACTCCAAAAAGCACTTTTGAGAGAAAACACTGAAATTTAACAGCTAGGCAATGGAAGACACCGTGGTTGAGGAAGGAGGAAGCAAGGTTGCCTGCTTAACATTGCTGGGCACCAGCACTAGCCTCTGGACTCTGAGCAGCTGTAGCAAAATGTAACTCTGGGTGGCCACCTGCCAAGGCTCTGAATCCTGCCATGAATGGCTACAGCTCCTGCTGTCTGCTGGGCAAAGAAAGAGCAAGGCCTGGGCATGTGAGCATGATCAAGACAGTCCCCACCACCATTGCCACAGGACAGAGGTACGTCTGAACCAGACACTCCCATGCTTATTGGTACTTCCCAAGACTGTTTGCCAAATTGTTTCCACAGGGTGGGGCCCATAGCATAGCCTCCATTGTTCCACCTGAGTGGTTTATTGGCAGCCAGGGAGTAGTTCACCCCTCTATCACAGATAGTGCTTGACCAAGAGGGGCAAAGGATAAATCAGGTGGCATGGTCTCAATTTCCCAAGATTCATCCCCTTACCCCTGGGTTGAACAGACCACCCAGGGGTAAGGAGTTGAGATCTGTGGCCTGATCTCAAGGAGGGGAAGAGGCCCCACTGGCAGAACACAGAGAAGAGTGTGGCATGGGTTTTTGTGATGGTGTGGGACCTAGGTGCCCCTCTCTTTGTGAGACAAGATCGAGAAGAGTGTGGCCTGATAGCTGCAGTTTCTGATGCAGGGTGCCTTATGGTCCAGAACACCTGGAATGGCATGGTGATCTGGGAGCAGGTGGCTTGGGACTAGCTTAACAGGTTGGGCCTGTTGTCTGAGCCAGATGCTGGAGGGAGACCACAGATTTGGGGATAGGAGAGCTGAGTGGGCCAAATGAACACCTGCTGGGCTGAAAACACCAGATGGCTCTTTTTCCCCTGAGTGGGCTCTCTGGTGTAGGGGAAGGGTTGTCTCAGCAGCCTGAGAACTTCTCCTAGAATAATACTAAGGTCTAATTCACCTCAAAGAACCTGGTTGCACTGGACCCAACTCTGCTCAGCTTTGCCTCTTTCTGACACTTCACAGGCAGAACACAGAACAGGGCCTCAGAAAGCCCTAGACTCTGCCCATCACCAGGAACTCCATGGTACTTCTCTCATCAACTAAGGCCAAGTAAAAATTCCACTGCCATCACTGCAACTGCCTCTCACCTGCAAGCCTCACCTACTGGGCAGGAGGTCAAACTGCAGGGCCTATCACAACTTCTGCTGTCATCATTGTACTGCACTCAGTTGGCTCTTATCTGCAAGCACAACCTACTGGGGTGTAGGGTGTACTGAAAAATCCAATATAATTCCTCCTGAAAGAAGTGGACAGCATTGTGGGATGAGGTAAGCCTCCTGAGAGCTCTACTTCCCCATCTCTGTGAGAGTGAGTCTGAACACACACGCAGCACACCACTACTACAACCTACAAACAACAAGCATTTGAGGAAACCACCACACTAAAACTATCTATAACCAAGAAATTCATACAGAGCCTTTGCCTTCTAAAAGCATATAGGGTCAAATCCAAAGTCCATTACCCAATATACACAACAGTTATATCCTGAAGGGGCTGGGGAAACCCTACCAAATTAAAGTACACCCCCAAATAAGAAGTTATTGCTTCTACAGATAAGAAGGCAGCAGCACAACAACCCCAGAACTATGAAGAAACAGAATATTGTGACATCCCCAAAGGACAACAGTATAACAATGAATCCTAACCAAAATGAAAACTATGAAATGACAGATAAAGAATTCAGGATATGGATTATAAGGAAACTCAATGAGATGCAAGAGAAAGTTGAATGAAAACACAAAGAAACCGTACAAAATAATCAAGGTGATGAAATAGCGATACATTTAAACCATAATTTCTGGAAATAAAAAAAGAAGAAATTTCAAAATACAATATTAAACTTTAACAATAGACTAGAAAGCAGAAGAAATAAATTCAGAGCTTGAAGTGTATTCTTTTTAATTAGCCACAGACAAAAACAAATAAAAAATAATTTAGAAAATGAAAAAAAGCCTTTGAGAAATACGGGATTATGTAAAGTGATCACACCCATGATTTCCAGGCATCCTGAGGAAGAAGAAAAAATTAGATATTTGGAAAAGATATTTGAGGGAATAATTCAGGAAAATTTTCTTGATTTTACTAGAAATGCAGACAATAAGATACAAGAAATTCAGAGAACATCTAGTTGATACTATACACGATGAATATCATCAACACGTACAGTGATCAGACTATACAAGGTCAATGTGAAAGAACAAAATTCAAAGACATCCAGAGAGAGAAGTCAAATCACCTATAAAGGGAATCCCATTAGACTAGGCAGACTTCTCCACAGAAACTTTACAAGACAGAAGAGATTTGAGGCCTATTTTTAGCCTTCTTAAAGAAAAAGTAATATGACAGTAGAGAATTTTATATCCTGAAAAACTAAGATTCTTAAATGGAGCAGAAATAAAGTATTTCCCAGAAAAGGAAACACTAAGGGAATTCATGACCACTATACAGTCCCTGTAAGAACTGCTCAAAGGACTTCTAAACATAGAAACAAAATGATGATACCTGCCATCATTAAAGCACATGAGAATAGAAAGCTCATATAACCTATAAAGCAATAACACAATTGAGACTCCAAGGCAACTAGCTAACATGACTATGACAGGAAAAAAGTCTCATATATCAATTTAACCTTGAATATAAATGGCCTAAATATTCTTCTTAAAAGACATAAATTGGAAAACTGTCTACTACCTGCAAGAGTCTCCCACAATGGCTAAAGACACCTGCAATCTCAAAGCAAAAGGATAGAAAAAGATTTATCACACAAATGGAAAAAAGAAACTAGCAGCAGTAGTAATTCTTATAAAAGATAAAATAGACGTGAAACCAACAACAGTAAAAAAAAAAAAAAAGACAAAGAAAGGTGTTTATCTATAGGTAAGGTGGCTTTTGTTTCCTCTGCATTCTTTCAATATTTTATTTTATTTTTAACTTTCTACAGTTTGAAAACAGTACTTATTTTGGCATTTATCTTGCTTGGTGATCTTTGAGCTTCCTAAATCTGGGGTTTGGTATCTGACATTAATTTGATGAAATTCTGTCATTGTTTCAAATATGTCTTCTGTTTATTTCTCTGTTTCTTCTCCTTCTGGTATTACCATTACACATGTGTTACATCTTTTTTAGTTTTCCTACAGTCCTTGGATAGTCTATTTTTTTCCAGTCTGTTCTTTTTGCTTTTCAGTTCTAAAAGTTTCTATTGATATATTCTCAAGTTCAGAGACTTTTTTTCTCAGCCTTGTTCAGTTTAATTAACTCATCAAAGACATTTTCATTTCTGTTACAGTGCTTTTGATCTCTAGCGTTTTTTTCAGATCTTTCTTAGGATTTCCATTTCTGTTCATGTTGTCTGTCTGTTCTTGCATGTTGTCTGTCCACTGGAGCCCTTAGCATATTAATTGTAGTTGTTTTCAATTATTAGTCAGATAATTCCAACATCCCTGCCAAGTCTGGCTCTTATGCTCATGCTGTTGTTCAAATGCTATTTTTGCTTTATACTATATCTTATTGTATTTTTCCTTGATAGCTGATCATGATGTCCTGGGTAAAAGGAAACAGTGTAAATAGGCCTTTAATAATGTGATGATGTCAGGGGAGTGTAAGCATTCTATAGTCCTCATTTCTCAGACGTACAGTGGACCCATGCCTCAGGTCTATGAACTTCGTAAGTATTTCTCAGGTTTTCTCTTCCTCCTTAAGTGGGGCAGGATGGCCAGAGCGGTCTGGATTTAGGTTTCTCACTTACGTCGCATGGGAAGTTTAGAGCTGGCTGGAGTTGGGTATTTCCGTTTTCCCAGGTTAGTTAGACCATGATAATTTCCCCGCAGGATAAGCTCAGATTAACTAGCTTCTCCTGAGGTCAGGGCTTGCTAAAAAGAACAAAGTACTCTGGCATATTTCAAAGGGTTTATATCCCCCACCCCAGCCCCCCAGAAACAGAAGAGGATTTTTCTCCTATATTTACTGAGAGATCCTCGTTGAGCTTCTGGAGGTAAAATTCACAAAAGTACGTGTGGAGGGAAGGTGGCTTATGAATGGCTACCCCTGAAGGTTTAAACTCTTAGGACTTGCCCATACTAACCCTCCAGCAGTTTATTAATTACAGTTTAGGCTTCTCTAATCCTGAGGCAGCTCCTGCTAGTGAGTCTTTGCTCTGGTATGCTGTGACTCCTTGTATTCATCTGTCTGTCTCTCCAATCTTGGAGATATTTTCATTCCATGTTCCTACTTCATTTATGAATTTAAGAATAATTGCTGGTTTTTCAGTCTGTTCACCTTTGTACTTATGAGTGATGACTTCCAAGTTCCTTACATGAGGAACCATGGATAGACATGAAAGGTTTTATCTCTGTTTTTATTTTTATTGCTTCAAAACAAAAATAATAACAAAGAATAGGATGATTTGTAAAATATGCAGTAGTTAGGTGTGTGAAAATACTAGCACAAAGAACAGGAAGGGAAATATATTCATTGCAAGTTCTTATAAACATGGAGTGATATTTTAATAGCCACAATAAAACAAATAAAACAAAGATCTATGACTTCTAAGTTAATGGAAGAGAAAAAGCAATGGAATTTATATATGCCCAATTAAATAATCAAACAACAGATGTAAACACATAGAAAATAATAGCCATATAGTACCAGTAAAGCCTATCATATTTGCAATAGCATTAAATATAAGTATCTAAACACTCTGATCATAAAGCATTAAATGTAATAATGAATAAATACATAATAGGCAAACACATAGTCTCCACTTTGAGATGCCTCTTAAACAAAGGTTGAATGTACGGTTGTCCTCCCTTATCTGCAGGGAATATATTTCAAGACCTTCAGTGGGTGTGTGAAACAGCGGATAGTACCGAAGCTTATATTACTGTTTTCTTTTTCTACCTATGCATACCTATGATAAACTTTCATTTATAAGTATGGCACAGTAAGAGATTAACAATGATACTTAATAAGTTAGAACAATTATAATAATATACTATAATAAAAGTTAGATAAATGTGCTGTCTCTATCTTTCCCTTTTAAAATCTATTATGGTAATGTACTTATCTATTTTTGAACTGTAGTTGATCATATGTAACTAAAATCATGGAAAGTAAAACCACAGATGGGGGGCTGCCATATGGAAGAATAATATACCATGCAGTCAACAATACTAACGAAGGCTGGAATGGTTGTGTTAATATAAAACAAAGAAGACTTCACAAGAAATAATATTACCAGTGATAAAGAGCAACCCTTTATAATAATAAAAGGGTCAATTCTTCAAGAAGATATGAAAATACTATTTGTATACTTACATAAAAGTGATAAGTGTATACTTACATAAAATATGAACACAGAATGGAAAAGAAAAAAACACAAGAAATACATTTATATGTAAATATTTCAAAATTACTTTCTCAGTAATTAATAAAAAACATATTTATAAAACCAGTAAATTATGGAAGACTTGAATATTTTTATGAAAATTGGTCTCACAGAGCACCACAACTAATAACAGCAGAATTCATATTCTTTCAAAGTATAAATAAAACATTGCACAAAAGGGACTATATGATGACCGTAAACAATATTGAGTAAATATATCTGGCAAGATGGCTGAATAGGAACAGCTCCAGTCTGCAGCTCCCAGTGAGACCAATGCAGAAGGTGGGTGATTTCTGCATTTCCAACTGAGGTGCCCAGTTGATCTCACTGGGACTGGTTAGGCAGTGGGTGCAGCCCACAGAGGGCAAGCAGAAGCAGGGTGGGACGTTGCCTCACCTAAGAAGTGCAAGGGGCCAGGGACCTCCCTCCCACAGTCAAGGGAAGCCATGAAGGATTGTGCTATCCAGCCCAGATACTACGCTTTTTCCATGGTTTTTGCAATCCATAGAGCAGGAGATTCCCTCATGTGCCTACACCACCAAGGCCCTGGGTTTCAACCACAAAACTGGGTGGCTGTTTGGTCAGACACCAAGCTAGCTGCAGGAGTTTTTTTTTTTCGTACCCAAGTAGTGCCTGGAACCCCAGCAAGTCAGAACCGTTCACTCCCCTGGAAAAGCGCTGAAGCCAGGGAGCCAAGTGGTCTCACTCAGCGGGTCCCACTCCCGTGGAGCCCAGCAAGCTAAGAACCACTGGCTTTAAATTCTCTCCACTAGCGTAGCAATTGTAGCAGTCTAAAGTCCATCTTGGACGTTCCAGCTTGGTTGGGGGAGGGGCGTCCACCATGACTGAGGCTTGAGTAGGCGGTTTTCCCCTGACATTGCTAAGGAGGCCAGGAAGTTTGGACTGGGCGGAACTCACCGCAGTGCAGCAAAGTGGCTTTGGCCAGACTGCCTCTCTAGGTTTCTCCTCACTGGGCAGGGCATCTCTGAAAGGTAGCAGCCCCAGTCAGGGGCTTATAGATAAAACTCCCAGCTCCCTGGGTCAGAGCACCTGGGGGAAGGGGTGGCTGTGGGAGCAGCTTCAGCAGATTTAAACACTCCTGCCTTCCAGCTCTGAAGAGAGCAGCGGATCCTAACAAGGAGGATTCCCCCAGCACAGTGTTCAAGCTCTGCTAAGGGACAGACTGCCTCCTCAAGTGGGTCCCTTAGCCCTGTGCCTCCCGACTGGGAGAGACCTCCCAGCAGGGGTCGACATTCACCTGATACAGGAGAGCGCCCGCTGGCATCAGGCTGGTGCCTGTCTGGGACGAAGCTTCCAGAGGAAGGAGCAGAAAGCAATTTTTGCTGTTTGCAGGCTCCACTGGTGATACCGCAGGTGACACCTGGGGGTCTAGAGTGGACCCCCAGCAAACTGCAGCAGACCTGCAAAAGAGGGGCCTGACTGTTAGAAGAAAAACTAACAAACAGAAAGCAACATCATCAACATCAACAAAAAGGAGTCCCCTCCCCCCGACAAAAACCCCATCCAAAAGTCATCAGTCTCAAAAAAAAAAGGTAGAAAAATCCACAAAGATGAGGAAAAACCAGCGCAAAAAAGCCAAAACTTCCAAAAACCAGAACACCTCTTCTCATCCAAATGATTGCAATTCTTCTCTAGCAAGGGCACAAAATTGAATGAAGAATGAGATTAATGAGTTGACAGAAGTATACTTCAGAATGTGGGTAATAACAAACTCCTCCCAGCTAAAGGAACATGTTCTAACCCAATGCAAGGAAGCGAAGAGCCTTGATAAAAGGTTACAGGAACTGCTAACTAGAATAGCCAGTTTAGAGAAGAACACAAATGACCTGATGGAGCTGAAAAACACAGCACAAGAACTTCATGAAGTATACACAAGTATCAATAGCCAAATCAATCAAACGGAAGAAACAATATCACAGATTGAAGATCAACTTAATGAAATAAAGTGTGAAGACAAGATTAGAGAAAAAAGAATGAAAAGGAATGAACAAAGCCTCCAAGAAATATGGGACTATGTGAAAAGACCAAACCTACGATTGATTGGTGTACCTTAAAGTGATGGGGAGAATGGAACCATGCTGGAAAACACACTTCAGGATATTATCCAGGAGAACATCCCTAACCTAGCAAGACAGACCAACACTCAAATTCAGGAGATACAGAGAACGTCACTAAAATACTCCTCGAGAAGAACAGCCCCAACACAAATAATCATCAGATTCTCCAAGGTTAAAACGAAGGAAAAAAATGTTAAAGGCAGCCAGAGAGAAAGGACAGGTTACTTATAAAGGGAAGCCCATCAGACTAACAGTGGATCTCTCTGCAGAAACCCTGCAAGTCAGAAGAGAGTGGGGGCAAATATTCAACATTCTTAAAGAAAAGAATTTTCAACCCAGAATTTCATATCCAGTCAAACTAAGCTTCATAAGTGAAGAAGAATTAAAATTCTTTACAGACAAGCAGATGCTGAGGGATTTTGTCACCATCAGGCCTGCCTTACAAGAGCTTCTGAAGGAAGCACTAAATATGGGAAGGAAAAACTGGTACCAGCCACTGTAAAAGCACACAAAATTATAAAGACCAACAACACTACGAAGAAACTGCATCAACTAATGTGCAAAACAACCAGCTAGCATCATGATGACAGAATGAAATTCACACATAACAATATTAACTTTAAATGTAAAAGGGCTAAATGTCCCAATTAAAAGACACAGAATGACAAATTGGATAAAGAGTCAAGACCCATTGGCGTGCTGTATTCAGAAGACCCATCTCATGTTCAAAGACACACATAGGCTCAAAATAAAGGGATGAAAGAATATTTACCAAACAAATGGAAAGAAAAAAAACAGGGGTTGTAATCCTTGTCTCTGATAAAACAGTTTTTAAACCAAGAAACATCAAAAGAGACAAAGGACATTATATAATGGTAAAGGGATCAATACAAGAAGAGCTAACTATTCTAAATATATATGCACCCAATACAGAAGGACCCAGATTCATAAAACAAGTTCTTAGAGACCTACAAAGATACCTGGACTCCCACACAATAATAGTGGGAGACTTTAACACCCCACTGTCAATGTTAGATCAACTAGAGAGAAATTTAACAACGATATTCAGGACTCGAACTCAGCTCTGGACCAAGGGGACCTAATAGACATCTACAGAACTCTCCACCCCAAATCAACAGAATATATATTCTTCTCAGTGCCACATAGCACTTATTCTAAAATCAACCACATAATTGGAAATAAAACACTCCTCAGCAAATGCAAAAGAACTGAAATCATAACAGTCTCTCAGATCACAGTGCACTCAAATCAGAACTCAGGATTAAGAAACTCACTCAAAACCACACAACTACATGGAAACTGAACAACCTGCTCCTGAATAACTACTGGGTAAATAACAAAATTAAGGTGGAAATAAAGAAGTTCTTTGAAATGGATGAGAAAAAAGAGACAACGTACCAGAATCTCTGGAACACAGTTAAAGCAGTGTTAAGATGGAAACTGATAGGACTAAATGCCCACATCAGAAAGTGGGAAAGATCTGAAATTAATACCTTAATATCACAATTAAAAGAACTAGAGAAGCAAGAGCAAATAAATTCAAAAGCTAGCAGAAGATGAGAAATAACTAAGATCAGAGCAGAACTGAAGGAGATAGAGACATGAAAAACGCTTCAAAAAAAATCAATGAATCCAGGAGCTGGTTTTTGAAAAGATTAACAAAATAGATAGACTGCTACCCAGACTAATAAAAAAGAGAAGAGAGAAGACTCAAATAGACACAATAAAAAATGATAAAGGAGATATCACCACTGATCCCACAGAAAAACAAATTACCATTAGATAATACTATAAACACCTCTACACAAATAAACTAGAAAATCTAGAAGAAATGGATAAATTCCTGGACACATACACCCTCCCAAGGCTAAACCAGGAAGAAATCGAATCCCTGAATAGACCAATAACAAGTTCTGAAATTGAGGGAGTAATTAATAGCTTACCAACCAAAAAAAGCCCAGAATCAGATGGATTCACAGCCAAATTCTACCAGAGGTACAAAGGGGAGCTGGTACCATGCCTTCTGAAACTATTCCAAACAATAGAAAAATAGGGACCCCTCCCTAACTCATTTTATGAGGCCAGCATCATCCTGATAGCAAAACCTGGCAGAGACACAACAAAAAAAGATTTCAGGCCTATATTCCTGATGAACAAAAATGCAAAAATCCTCAGTAAAATACTGGCAAACCGAATCCACCAGCACATCAAAAAGCTTATCCACCACGACCAAGTTGGCTTCATCCCTGGGATTCAAGGCTGGTTCAACATACACAAATCAATAAATGTAATCTATCAAATAAACAGAACTAATGACTAAACCAAATGATTATCTCAACAGATGCAGAAAAGACATTTAATAAAATTCAACACTCCTTCATGCCAAAATCTCTCAATAAACTAGGTGTTGATGGAATATATCTCAAAATAATAATAATAATGACAAACCCATAGCCAATATCATACTGAGTGGGCAAAAGCTGGAAGCATTCGCTTTGAAAACCAGTACAAGACAAGGATGCTCTCTCTTACCACTCCTATTCAACATATTGGAAGTTCTGGCCAGGGCAATCAGGCAAGAGAAAAAAATAAAGGATATTCAAATAGGAAAAGAGGAAGTCAAATTGTCTCTGTTTGCAGATGACATGATTGTATATTTAGAAAACCCCATTGTCTCAGCCCAGAAACTCCTTAAGCTGATAAGCAACTTCATCAAGGTCTCAGGATACAAAATCAATGTGCAAAAATCACAAGCATTCCTGTACATCAATAACAGACAAGCAGAGAGTGAAATCATGAGTGAACTCCCATTCACAGTTGCTACAAAGAGAATACAATACCTAGGAATACAACTTCCAAGGGACATGTAGGGCCTCTTCAAGGAGAACTACAAACCACTGCTCAAGGAAATAAGAGAGGACACAGACAAATTCAAGATTTTTTTTTCACACAAAAAAATTCCATGCTCATGGATAGGAAGAATCAATGTCACGAAAATGGTCATACTGCCCAAAGTAGTTTGTAGATTCAGTGCTATTCCCATCAAGCTACCACTGACTTTATTCAAATAATTAGAAAAAACTGCTTTCAATTTCATATGAAACCAAAAAAGAACTCATATAGCCAAGACAATCCTAAGCAAAAAGAACAAAGCTGAAGGTATCATGCTACTTTACTTCAAACTATACTACAAGGCTGCAGTAACCAAAACAGCATGGTACTGGTACCTAAACAGATATTTAGACCAATAAAACAGAACAGAGGCCTCAGAAAAAAAAACACCACACATCTACAACCATCTGATCTTTGACAAACCTGACAAAAACAAGCAATGGGAAAAGGATTCCCTGTTTAATAAAGGGTGCTGGGAAAACTGGCTAACCATATACAGAAAACAGAAACTGGACCCCTTCCTTACACCTTATACAAAAATTAACTCAAGATGGATTAAAGACTTAAAAGTAATACCTAAAATCATAAAAACTCTAGAAGAAAACCTAGGCAATATCATTGAGGACATAAGCATGGGCAAAGACTTCGTGACTAGAATACCAAAAGCAATTGCAACAAAAGCCAAAATTGACAAATGGCATGCAATTAAACTAAAGAGCTTTTGCACAGCAACAGAAACTATCATCAGAGTGAACAGGCAACCTACAGAATGGGAGAAAATTTTTGAAATCTATCCATCTGACAAAGGTCTAATATCCCAAATCCACAAGGAACTTAAATAAATTTACAAGAAAAAAACAACCCCATCAAAAAGTGGGTGAAGGATATGAACAGACACTTCTCAAAAGAAGACATTTATGCAGCCAAGAAACATAAGAAAAAAAGCTCTTCATCACTGGCCATTAGAGAAGTGCAAATAAAAACCACAATGAGATAACATCTCACATTGTTTAAAATGTTGATCATTAAAAAGTTAGGAAACAACAGATGCTGGCGAGTCTGTGGAGAAATGGGAACGCTTTTACACTGTTGGTGAAGGTGTAAATTAGTTCAACCATTGTGGAAGACAGTGTGGTGATTCCTCAAGGATCTAGAACCAGAAATACCATTTTACCCAGAAATGCCATGACTGGGTATATACCCTAAGGATTAGAAATCATTCTTCTATAAAGACACATGCACACGTATGTTTATTGCAGCATTATTTACAATAGCAAAGACATGGAACCAACCAAATGCCCATCAGTGATAGACTGGATAAAGGAAATGTGGCACATATACACCATGGAATACTAGGCAGCCATAAAAAAGGATGCGTTCATGTCCTTTGCAGGGACATGGATGAAGCTGGAAACATCATTCTCAGCAGACCATCACAGGAAGAGAGAACCAAACACTGCATGTTCTCACTCATAAGTGGGAGTTGAACAATGAGAACGCATGGACACAGGGAGGGGAACATCACACGCTGGAGCCTGTTGGGGTGTGTGGAGCAAGGGGAGGGAGAGCATTAAGACAAATTTGTAATGCATGTGGGACTTAAAACCTAGATGAAGGGTTGATAGGTGCAGCAAACCACCATGACACATGTATATCTATATAACAAACCTGCGTGTTCTGCACATGTATCCCAAAACTTAAAATTAAAAAATGAGTAAGTTTAAATGATTAAAATAAACATAATATGCTGTCTTATAAAAACTGATTATATTTATAAATCTGTAGGAAAGATACATTAATTTTTAAAATCCCAAATAATTGAAAAGTGAACCCTACACTTATAAATAATCCATGAGTGAAAGAATAAAGGGAATTAGACATATTTTCACTTAATGGTATTGTCATAACATGTCAAGTTTTTTTGATGGAGCTAAAGCAGTGCTTAGAGGAAAATTTATAATTTTAACATTTATATTGACAAAATGAAGACCTAACATCAAAAACTCTGATTTTACTTTAGTCTAGACAAAAATAAATAAATAAATAACTAGAAGGAAAGAATAATAAAGCTGGAAGCATAATTCAGTTAAATAGAATATAACAAAAATAATGGAGACAAATCAATATAATATAAATTGAGTTTTTTGAAAAGAATAAAATTATTAAAACAGCGAGATTGATTCAGAAAAAAATCACAATTTGTTAATATCACAAATAAAAAAGAACACTAAAATAAAAATGAGATAATAGAAGCAATTATTTCAATAAATTCAACAACTTACATGCAATGGTAAAATTTTTGAGAAGCACAAATCTAAACTTAAGACATAAATGGCAAAATTTCTACAAGAAAATATAGGAAAAAAAGTCTGCAACTTTCAGGTAGGCCAGGATTTTTTGAATGTACAAAAAAATTAACCTTAAAAAAGTGATACACTTGAGTTTATCCATATTAATATATTTTGATATTAAAATGACATTAAGGAAAGGACAATTTTTTGAAATGGAAGCAACTGACTTGTATAAAATATGTGCAATGTATTCATCTTCAAAATATTTGTATTCATAATATAAAGTTTAAAGAATAACTGTAGATTAATACAGAAAACAAACACTAAATGAAAATGGGCAAATGTTTTGACAAGACATTTAAATCTCTCTCTCTCTTGTTCTATCTCTTTTGTTCTCTGTCCATATATCTAGCCATATACAGATGATCCCCACTTACAGTGGTTTAGTTTATATATTTTTTTTACTTTTTGATAGTGCAAAAGTAATAGATATTCAGTAGAAACCATAATTTACATTTTGAATCTTGATCTTTTCTTGGGGTAATGAAATGGAATGCAATACTCTATTGGGATGCTGGGCAGAAGCAGTGAGCCTCAGCTCCCAGTCAACCACATCATCACTAGGATTAATAACCAATGTCTACAGTGTACTTTTCAATAAATTACATAAAACATTTAACATTTTATTCTAAAATAGGTTTTATGTTAGATATTTCACCCAACTATAGGCTACAGTATGTATTCTTTTTTTTTTCTTTTTTTTTTTTGAGACAGAGTCTTGCTCTGTCACCCAGGCTGCAGTGCAGTCGCATGATCTTGGCTCATGGAAACCTCCACCTCTCGGGTTCAAGCGATTCTCCTGCATCAGCCTCCCAAGTAGCTGGGATTACAGGTGCCCACCACCACGCTGGGCTAATTTTTTTATTTTTAGTAGATAATTTTTTATTTTTGCCATGTTGGCCAGGCTGGTCTTGAACTCCTGACCTTAGGTGATCCACTCACCTCAGCCTCTCAAAGTGGTGGGATTATAGGCGTGAGCCACCATGCCCGGTCTAAAGTATGTGTTCTAAGCATGTTTAAGGTAGGCTAAGCTAAGCTATAATGTTCTGTAGGTTAGGTGTATTAAATTCATTCAATTCATAATATTTTCAAATTATAATCAGTTTATCAGAACATAACTACGCCATAAGTCAAGAAGTATCTGTATATATGTCTAATCTATATATATTAGATTATATATATAATATATCCATATCTTTATTTCTTATTGATGAAAAGAGTCACACTCTGTAAAATATTTGAAGAGATTTATTCTGAGCCAAATATGAGTGAGCATGGCCTGTGACACAGCCCTCAGGAGATTCTGAGAACATGTGCCCAAGGTGGTGAAGCGTTTCTTTATTGGACTTAAAGGGGTGACTGACTCTTAGTTGAGTATCTCGTGGATCTGGAAAGATGAAAAAAGGGAAAAGGAGACTCTCTACAGAATGTAGATTTTTCCCACAAGAGACAATTTTGCAGGGCAGTTTCAATATATGACAAGGAAATATATTTAGGGCTAAAATATTTTTATTTATTTCCTTATTTGTTATGTGATGCTATGCCAGAGTCAGGTTGGAAAGCAGGCCATGTTATATAGGGTTAAATAAAACCCTTCTGATGAGACTTTATGATTTTGTAGGGGGTGACTCCCCAGACCCCTTTGTCAAGAATTTGGGCAAGAGAATAAATTTTAAAAAGGTGAGACTTTAGTCCTCACTGTATAGTAAGCACCAATAAGTTGAAAAGATGCTTAATGTCAATAGTTACCATGAACAAAAAAGTTAAAATAAGATAATATACTTTTAAATTAATTCCAAGCATCTCTTTAAATTTTTTAGCAACGAAGTTTGGGTGCTGTTCTGATAATGTGAAATTCAGTGTTTAACCCATTTAATTAACACGTATGGCAAAAGATTTCAATAATTTTTTAAATTTATTTTTTGTTATTCCCATAACTAAAGCAAAGACCAATGTCTATACCACCCCATACTTCGGATTTGCTTTCCTCCACCTAGATTACCTATTGAGATATTATCTTGAAAATAAGGCTTTATGTAAGTGTGTCTTCAATCAGAAATCCTCAGAAAACACTCGCAACAGATATTATTCTCAAAACTGGTTATTGCCACCATAGGTTTGTCATTGTCATTTCTTTCTTGTCATTTCTGGCCTTTGAGTAGTTCATAAACTTTATGACCAAGTCAAATATGCAGAAAAAGGTTGTAATAATTTTATTCAGCATTTTGAAGTGAACGGCACTGGGAAAGAATTTCACTGACTGACTTGTCTGCCCTATTGCCAAGAAATATCATTTGGATTTTCAAATAGATTTCACCTCCTCTGCTAATATTAAAATTCTGAAAGTTCAAAATTAAATTAAGTATAACTTTTATTTCAGTTCCATCTGTTTAACATTTTGCTTTAGTTAATATATAGTCAAGTTGAATAATTTACACTATCAGATATTAAAACTTGAAAACTACAGTAATTTAGACAGCTTGATGAAGGTACGAGTAGAGACAAATAGGCCATTCTAGCAGAATATAGATCAGAAACAGATTCACAATATATGAACACTTGATGTGAGACAAAGTTGAAACTGCAGAGCATTGAGGAATTGCCAGTCTTTTCTATAAATGGTCTAGGATCAATTAAACATACATATAGGAAAAAAATGAATCTTTACCCCTTCCCTCATAGCAAACAAAAAATCAATTACAGACATTGAAATCTGATTTTCTAAGATATATCAGGAAAACCTCCAGAAAAAATAACAAAATAAAACATCTCAATAAAATGGAAGAATCAATGAGTATGTAAAAAACACAAATTATAAATGAAATAATTACTAAGGAGTTTTTGTTCATAAAAAGATACAACCAAGAGAGTACAAGGCAGCCCATACACTAAAAAAAGATGAATAAATACATATACTGCATATAATCAACAAAAATCTTGTGTCCAGATTATGTAAAGTATTCCTAAAAGCAATAATATAGACAATCCAAAGAAAACTGGGAACACTAGAATAGGCATTCTACAATAGAGAAATTGTTAATCTTTTAATGAATATCTCTACACATACCAGAATGGGTGAAATTAAGAAGACTCATTATAGCAAGTTCTGGCAAATGTGAAGAAAGATACGCTGTCTTATATTGCTGGGGAGGTTGACAAATATTTATGTAATGTCTAAAATTTTTTGATGGTATTTACTAAAGATAAATAAATACATATCCTCTGACTCAGAAAATACATTCTGAGTTATATAGTTAATACATATGCTTTTTATGTCTATGTATACATAATACAAATGCATGCACACTTATGACACACAAAAGACACACGAAAGAATGTTAATGGTAGAATCATTCATAGTAGACCCAAACTTAAAATAATTCAAATATTCATAACCAGTAGAAAATATATCATGGTATATTCATACAATTGACTATTACATATTAGTTTAAACTACTGCCTCATTCTACAACATCAATACATTTTTAAATCATAATGTCGAGAGTAAACATCCAGGCAAAAAGGAATATATTAATGAAAACTGTTTTTATAAAGTTCACAAACAAGTAAAAACCATCTATGGAGATGGTAATTGACTGGAAACCATATTTGGAGAGAATCCGAGGTTCTGGTAATGACTCTCTTTTTCTTTTATTGACTGAGCGTACCAAGCCACATTGCATATAGGAGTTTTAGGGGAGTGGTCTCAAGGATATAATCGTTAAGGGAGTGACAGAGGCCCAATTGGCCAGATAGTGGTTGAAGTGTAATATATTTGCAAATTAAAAAAAAAAAAAAGCCTCAGCCTAACACCTTCGGAACATTTAGAAGCTAAGATAACTCTTTAAAATTTACCCAAATTGAGATAAGTGTTCTATGCCCTTGTAGTCTTGCAGTGACAAGTCATTGATTGCAAAATGTCCACAACAAGAGACATGACTTGGGTCAGGTGTCTCTTTAGTTAAGAGCATTTCCTGTAGAAGGCCTCAACAGACAAAAGTCCCATAAACTTTTGGGAATGAGAGCCTCATTGAGAGCCATAACAATCATTGTTTTGGCCTGAATTGTGTTCTCCCCAAATTTATGTGTTGAAACCCTAACTCCCCAGTATTTCAAAATGTGAGTATACTTTGAGATAGGCCCTTTACAGAGGTGATTAAATTAAAATTAGCCTGTAAGGGAGGGTCCTAATACAATGTGACTGGTGTTCTTATAAGAAGAGAAAATTTGGACCTACAAAGAGACATCAGGGGCACAGAGGAAAGACCACATGAGGACACAGCAAGAAGGCAGCCAACTGCGAGTTAAGGAGAAAAGCCTCAAAAGATACCAAATCTGCTGACACCTTGATCTTGGACTTCTAGGCTCCAAAAGTATGAGAAAATAGATTTATGTTGTTTAAGTCTCCCAGTTTTGGGTATTTTGTTATGGCATCTCTAGCAAACAATTGTGAAAGGGGAATCTGGACGAAACACCAGAGAATTTACTACTGCCAACTTTTTGCTGTGTTTTTATCTACTTTGTGTAGAAAGTTCTCCCCATTTGCAAATCGTTTCTCTGGGACTCTAGTTTGTCTTTTTTTCTTGAAGAAACTTAAAAGAAGAAAGAATGAGATGAACCACAGGCCCATGGCAGCAGCTAATCTAGAGGACAACTGGTGTCAATATTTTCCTTCTCTGTAACTATTTTAGATACGCGTCTCCCTTAGATAGCATCTCTTGTGGTCGATAAGGCTTATTTGGTCAGGGATCTGCACCACTGGTCACCATGCATTCTCAGATTGCTGTTGCACATCTTTCATTTATCATCAAAGTTGGTCAAAAAGTAGCAAGAGGTGGCCAGGTGCGGAGGCTCACGCCTGTAATCCCAGCACTTTGGGAGGCCAAGGCAGGTGGATCACGAGGTCAGGAGATCGAGACCATCCTGGCTAACACAGTGAAACCCTGTCTCTACTAAAAATTCAAAAAATTAGCCAGGTGTAGTGGCGGGCGCTTGTAGTCCCAGCTAATCGGGAGGCTGAGGCAGAAGAATGGCATGAACCTGGGAGGCGGAGCCTGCAATGAGCTGAGATCCTGCGCTGCACTCCAGCCTGGGCTACAGAGCTAGACTCAGTCTCAAAAAATATAAAAAAAAAAAAAAAAAAAGAAGCAAGAGGTACCATATTGAACTATATAATTGTCAAACATATTCTTCCCCTTCCCTATTTTTGACAGTAGCGCCTATTTCCTCTTAATAATGGGGGCCAATTTAAGCTGTCATTATATTGACTTATTTATTTAAGTAGGCTCTTTGGGCACAAGAAGCCCAAGGAGACAGAGCAGCCATAGAACTTCTTAATGAACATTTACTAGTGTCCTCTGGTGGAAATGTCCTCCCTCTGAGAAGCAGGGTTTATAGACCCAAAGTGCACAGAATTGTAGAAATGGGAAGTACTCATTCTCCAAGACACTCACTGCAAGTGAAAAGTGGGTTTATTTCTATTTCCATCTTTTGGGTTCCACACCCAATGTATTCAACCTCCTGAAACACTGCACTATAAAATGATTATTGATTTAGAATATATTCTTGTTCTAGATTATGACGTCTTATTCTACCAGGATACAATTCCAAGCAACTGTCTTAGCTACACTGTCATAAGGCTGTTCCAATTTTTAACTGGCTAGCAGCTTCTGGGTGATCCAATATGTGACAGAGCCAGTGTTTTCCAAGGTTTTGTGTCTATTGCTACAACTCTTTTACTGTAAAGTGCATTATTTACAGAAAAAAAGCTGCTTTTTTCCTGAAGTGTTGTTATGCACAACCCCTTATTGTTAGATCACTCAGTATGTTCCAGAGCGTGGTGTTTACAGAAGCCTGATGGTCAGAAAAGTCAAATCAAATAACTTCTTCCATGGTAGGTGCTTCTTTCTATTTCTTTTTCTTTTAGTGTAAAGGTCTTAACAGTTTATTCCAACCCTTATGAGTCCATCAATATGCCTGTTTCTTACATTTTTCTCATTCTTCACCTTTCACTATTTCTGCTTGCAGGGTCCTGGCAAATCTGTCCTTTGTTTCCCACTACCTGCAATTTCATGAATGTTCTTACTTCACGACTTTTCTTTCTACACAAAGTGAATGATAAGGTGCAGTGCTAAACTTCTATCACAAGTAGATTTCCAGAACACCTTGAATGAGTCTGACACAAAGCAGAAGTTTATTTTTGTCTTGGACCCATATATTATGCCATCTTATCTACGAACTAAACTAGCACTTTTTCTCTTCCTTCTGCTGAAAATGAGGGGCATCCCCAACCCATGCAGCAATAGGTAAGAGCCAAGGAGAACTAACATGACAGTAGTGGCTAATGTGGGGTCTCGAATTTCTGATCTTGTAAATTATTTGTGCCTTTGGTCTGGCTTGTGCCTAATCCCAGATATATTCAGTTTTGCACTTGGTTGCTGTAGGGCCCATCAGGTTTTATGACTTAGTGGATCTGGGAGACTTTAGCTTATGACAAACTTCCAGTTATAGCTTCACAATCACTTGAGGTCCCAAAATCAGATACTCTGCCTCTATCAGGGCATAGTACCTTGCTAGGGGCTATTTTTAATGCTGAATAGAAGGCATGACCATACACTATAACCCCAGAAGATTCTCCTTTTGTGGCTGGCCATGAACTTCACTTATGTTGTTTAGCATCTTATTCCATCAAAGATAGAATAAAAACTGGTAAGTCTTATGGTCCAAGCATTAGGACAGCTTCACTGCAATCTGGATGTCCTAAGGAGCTCTTTCTTATACAAAGCCCCACTAAAAACTAGCAGCCTTTTACATCACCAGGAATATCGACTAGAGAAAGATGTTCACACATGTGATATGTTGCTTCTAGAATCTAAAGAAGTCTACCAGGCATTGTGTTTCCATCTTAGTAGAGAAAGGGGCAAAATTATAATATAGATTAAAAAACCATTATTTAATTTAAAATAGCTTTTTTGGCAGGCCTCAGACCACTAAACCCCTAAACATTTTACTTATATGTCATGTTGCTAAGTTTTTTATAGGATTTATTTTCCACCTTCTTTAGTGTACGTTTCTTACAAAGGTCACTAACATGCCTGCAAATTCTTGTTCATCTGTTACAAATCACATGATGTCAGTGGTATAGTGAACAAAAGTGTTCTGCAGAAAGTCCAGACAGTCCAATACCTTTGGCTTATATTATAATGGAGGGCAAGAGATTAACATGTTCTTGGGACAGGACAGTAGATGAATATCTTTGCCTGACTAATATGAATGAGAACTAATTTTGTTATGACCAGGATAGAAATGAACTCCCTTGCCAGATCAATGGCCACATGCCATGTAGCTGAGCCTATGTTGATCTACTCTAGCAGTTGCAATTAGAACTACTACATGGTTGAGTTTTTTGTAATCCATTGGCATTTGCCAGCATACTTCTGGTTTTTGTAGGGGACAGACTGGCAAATTAAATGGTGTATTATGGAGACCATCCCTACAGTATTTTTTGAAGCGGCACTATCTTGGCCTTTCTCATTCCTGGGGGAGGTTATACTATTTTTACATTACTATCTTGCCCAGTGGGGAGCAGTTTCAGAATCCACCATTTGCCTTTTTCTGATTATAATAGCTCTTAACCCACTGGCAAAGGAATAAATCTGTGTATTCTGATAACTATTAAGTATCTTTATTCTAATTATATATTTATAAACCAGGCTTGGTCTCTCACATCTATAATCCCAACCCTTTAGGAGGTCAAGGCAGGAAAAACATTTGAGTCCAGGAGTTTCCAAGAAGCTTGGACAACATAGCAAACCTCATCAGTAAAAAACAAAACAAAAACAAAAACAAAAATACAATTGGCCAGTCACAGTTGCCTGCACCTATAGTTACAGCTACTTGAGAGCTTGAGGCAGGAGGATCACTTGGGCCCAGGAGTTTGAGGTTACAGTGAGCCATGATTATGCCACTGTACTCCAGCCTGGGTGACACAGCAAGACTCTTTCTGAAAGATAATGATAATAACAAATATACGAGTAAATTATACATTTGTCATCCAGGAATATTATCATCATGTGGATCCATGGACCACATGAACACACTGTGAACCAGACTAAGCCAAGTCTCTCATACATATTCAATCTAATGGGACGATGTAACGATACTTAGGGCCTGGTTTAAATATCATCTGAGGCACTGTATGCAACAGTCCTTGAAAAGTTCAGTTATCCTCTCACAATAACCTGAGAAATGGCCTTAGGTTAATTTGGAGAGAGGTCTGGGGAAATCAGTCCTGTAAATATTTGTAATATTGTAGGATTCTTTCTCTTAGAGACTCAGTCATTCTACACCTGAGAACTAGATCAGTTCCATAAACTGAGCAAGATGCCGTGAATTTTTATGAGAATTGTGTCCCTAGGCTTCTCAATATTCATCCTTGATTTATTTTGTTTGCATAAACTAATCTATACCATTGTTGATGTCCATCTATTTTGCCTCCAGAAACATAATGCTCAAGTCACTATCTATAGAGATCTCGGTGAGTCAGGCTCTTCTTGCTGTCAATAGGAATTTACCTTGAATTACTTTCATCTCCATTGCTATCAAATAAATTAGCATTTAAGAGTATCTCTTGCCATCAGCCCTAGGCCCAAAGAACAGACAACATCAACTTTTTCAACAATTCTGCTGCCCTTGTCAAAAGTGAAATTTTTATTGCTTTGTTAATAGAGTATCTTCTAGAATAGGTGGATTTTCTAGCATGGCCACTTAGCCACTTATTTGAGCTTTTTGTTTTTTTCTCTAGTGTCTTCTATGGAAATTTTGGAATTTCTTTATCCCATATTATGTGTCATATTTTTTCTGAACTTCTAAGAATTATCTTAGCAACTTGTTAGTAATATTTCCTGGGATCCTTGTCAATGTTTTAAATCTTTTATCATGGACAGACTTTCCATATGAACAAGCATTCCCTTATCCAAATTTCTGCCACAAACCCATTCCTACACACCTATCTGGTACCATCAGAATTCAATTCTACATACTCCTGTGCCTCTTGTTGGTGTATGTATGTGGCTAGGTTCTGCAGCAACTTCTGCAAATTCCCTTTTAACCTTTCACAATGCCAGTATTTTTCCAGCTAATTTCTGTTGTAACGTGACTGTACTTATTGTTTTGGTATTCAAGATGAGAGAGGGCAGCAAATCCCGAGGTCATTCACATGATGTCTTTTAAGGGAGAGGTTCTGCATCATATTCCAGCAAAAGGGACCATTACCCTCTAACAAGGAGTGGACCAATTCTTCAGGTGCAGAGAGCTCAGGGTAAACTAGGAATTGAATTTTTCAAGTACATTGACTTAGATGTCCCTATCCTGAGTCTAGAGTCCCATGCCTTCCCAATAAGGCACTGATCTTAGTTAGCTGACCAGACATGCTGTAACTGAACATTATCCTTTTCTGGATCTCTGCTACCACTGTAATTAAATCCTGTACCTGATGATCTTTTTCTGCCTTCTTACCACAGCAAATGAGTTTCTTTATATACTTCCAAACATGTCACCTTAAATTGGTGATTAATCACTGTAAACCTTTCAGTGTTTTTCTTCAATGCATGGTTAACCCCATCCAATTCCATAGTACTTATTATTTTTCCATATGTCTCAAATACTTCAGATAGTGTGCCCACCAAATGCATTCATTTTGACTAGTATTCCAGACCAGTTAATCACCAGTGTACGTTTTAACAATTGCACTTCTATGCCATGTCACAGCTATTAGTATTCTATCTGCTACTTTTAATTAGGGTCCTCATTGCCAGGAGCCCAGTGAATAGTGCATTTCTAAAATCCCATTTTAAATTCTGCTTTCTAGGATCAACATTGTTATCAACCCTATAGGTTAGATTCCTTGGGAAACAGACTTTGAGGCAGAAATTTGCATTCATGGACCTTGCTAGGCAGTGCTCTTGTGAAAAAAATACCTGTAAAGGTGTGAGAGAAGTAAGGTTAGACAGAAAAAGAAATTGAACTATAGAAAAAACGCAGGAGGCTCAGCTGACTCAATGGTGAGCTCTGAAGCTCAGATTTCATTTAAAATTTGTCTTATTCAAGGCAATGGTGTTGAGCATTTGTACTCACCTGTAAACCTGTAATTGAATGAGTTCTGTCCCAGGGAAGTACTGTGACTTTGGAAAAGCCAACAGCTTTTGTCCAAAAGCAGTTTCTATAAAAGTATTAACCATGAGTTGTGAAAAGCCAAAACTCTTGGCAACTGAGAAAATGAAGTCTCATTATTAGAGAAAGGTAATTTCAGTGGCACATACAGCATCCATCATAGCTGCAAAGTGATTACATAGTTGTATTAATTTTACTGTAATTCTATATAATACACACTTAATCCTTTTTAAATTTTTGTACATGCACATTTTTTAAATAAAATACTAAATATTGGAAGGTGATGTGTGTGGCAATGCTTGTGGAACCTGGAGAACACGAACAGCAAATTTAGCCAAAAGATAGCAAAGGCATTGGAGGAAATGTAATTAGAAGCAGAACTGTGTCACTTTCTGCATGTTTCTATTTTTCTTGCCTTATTTGTGATTTTTTTTTTTTGGTTGTTTCAGATAAACGAATGAGTAACTGAGTACAGGTCTCCTTCTATCTATTACTAAAGAATTTGTTACTCTCCTTGAATCATTCCTTCCTTCCTTCCTCTCTCTCTCTTTCTTTCTTTCTTTCTTTCTTTCTTTCTTTCTTTCTTTCTTTCTTTTCTCTTTCTTTCTTTCTTTCTTTCTTTCTTTCTTTCTTTCTTTCTTTCTTTCTTTCTTTCTTTCTTTCTTTCTTTCTCTGTTTCTCTCTTTCTTTCTTTTTCTTTTTTTTCTTTTAAACAAGGCCTGTCTTTGCTGCCCAGGCTGGAGTGCAGTGGCACAATCTTGGCTCACTGCAATTTCTGCCTCCCAGGTTCAAGTGATTCTCGTGCCTCAGCCTCCCAAGTAGCTGGGATTACAGGCATCTGCTACCATGCCCAGTCAATTTTTGTATTTTTAGTACAAATGGGTTTTCACTGTGTTGCCCAGGCTGGTCTTGAACTCCTGACCTCAAGTGATCTGCCCACCTTGGCCTCCCAAATTGCTGGGATTACAAGCATGAGCCACTGTGCCCGGCCAAATTTTTTCTTGAATTACCACAAAATAGAGCTGTGTAGTTATATGCTGCACTCCACTGATAAGCACCACAGGTATATTTACTGGGTATAATATTTTTGGGCACAATCCACCTTAATACCCACCCCAAAACAACAGGATATACACTCTTCTCATTGCATACGGTGCAAACTCTGAAACTGACCACACGATTGGGCATGAAACAACCCTCAGCAAATACAAAAAAACTGAAATCATAACAACCACACTCTTGAATGACAGTGCAATAAAAATAGAAATCAATGCTAAGAAAATCAATGAAAACAATACAAATAAATGGAAATCAAACAACCTGCTCCTGAATGACATCTGAGCTGATAATGAAATTAAGGCAGAAATCAATAAATTCTTTGAAATTAGTGAGAAAAATATGCAACATATCAGAATTTCTGCTACAGTCAAAACTGTGTTATATTACTAAATACCCACATCAAAAAGTTAGAAAGAGATCAGGCATGGTAGCTCACACCTGTAATCCCACACTTTGGGAGGCTAAGGTGGGTGGGTCACCTGAGGTCAGGAGTTCGAGACCAGCCTGGTCAACATGGTGAAACCCCATCTCTACTAAAAATACAAAAATTAGCCAAATTAGCTGGGCGGGGTGTACACCTGTAACCCCAGCTACTCGTGAGGCTGAGGCAAGAGAATCTCTTTGAACCCAGGAGGTGGAGATTTCAGTGAGCTGAGATTGGGCCACTGCACTCCAGCATGGCTGACTCGGCCTCTCAAGTAGCTGATCCAAACACTGACCCAGGAAGAGTTTGAATCCTGAACAGACCAATAAAATGTTCCAAAATTGAGTCAGTAATAAAAAGCCTGCCAATCAGAAAAAGCCCAGCACTAGGCAGATCACACTCTAATTCTACCAGATGTAAAAGGAAATGTTGGTACCATTCCTCCTGAAACTATTCCAAAAAATTGAGGAGGAGGTACTCCTTCCTAACTCATTCTATGAGGCCAGCATTATCTAGATACCAAAACCTGGCAGAGGCACAACAATAAAAGAAAACTTCAGGGCAATATCCTTGATGAACATAGATGCAAAAAATCCTCAGCAAAATAGCAGTCAAGCAAATCCAACAGTATATCAAAAAAGCTAATCCACCATGATCAAGTACGCTTTACTCCTGGAATGCAAGTTTGGTTCAACATATACAAATCAATAAATGTGATTTACCACATAAACATAACTGAAAACAAAAACCACATGATCATCTCAACAGATGCAGAAAAGGCTTTCCATGAATTTCAACATGTTTTAAACAAAACTAGGCAGTGAAGGAACATTCTTCAAAATAATATGGAACATCTTGAAAAACCCACAGGGAACATCATACTGAATAGGCAAAAGCTGAAAAAATTCCCCTTGAAAACCAACACAAGACAAGGATGCCTTTCTCACCACTCCTATTCAATGTAATATTGGAAGTTCTGGCCAGGGCAATTAGGCAAGAGAAAGAACTACAGGCATCCAAATAGGAAGAGCGGAACTCAAACTATTCCTGTTTGCAGATGGTCTGATTGTAAACCTGGAAAACCCCATAGTATCTGCTGAAAAGCCTCTAGATCTGATGCACGATGTGATCAAAGTTTCAGGGTACAAAATTAATGTACAAAAGTCAGTAGCATTCCTATACACCACCAACTTTCAAACTGAGAGCCAAATCAGGAAAACAACCCCAACACAATTACTACAAAAATAATAAAATACATAGGAATACAGTTAATTAGGGAAGTGAAAGATCTCTACAATAGGCCGGGCGCGGTGGCTCACGCCTGTAATCCCAGCACTTTGGGAGGCCGAGACGGGTGGATCACAAGGTCAGGAGATCAAGACCATCCTGACTAACATGGTGAAACCCCATCTCTACTAAAAATAAAAAAAAAATGCGGGCACCTGTAGTCCCAGCTACTCGGGAGGCTGAGGCAGGAGAATGGCGTGAACCCGGGAGGCGGAGCCTGCAGTGAGCCGAGATCGCGCCACTGCACTCCAACCTGGGCGACAGCGAGACTCCGTCTCAAAAAAAAAAAAAAAAAAAAAAAAAAAAAAAAAAAAAAAAAAAAAAAAATTAGCTGGGTGTAGTGGCGGGCGCCTGTAGTCCCAGCTACTCAGGAGGCTGAGGCAGGAGAATGGCATGAACCCGGGAGGCAGAGCTTGCAGTGAACTGAGATTGCGCCACTGCCCTCCAGCCTGGGCGACTGAGCAAGACTCTGTCTCAAAAACAAAACAAAACAAAACAAAAAAAAACATCATTCTCAGCAAACTATCGCAAGGACAAAAAACCAAACACTGCATGTTCTCAGTCATAGGTGGGAATTGAACAATGGACACAGGAATTGAACACGGACACAGGAAGGGGAACATCACACACTGGGGCCTGTTGTGGGGTGGGGGGAGGGGAGAGGGATAGCATTAGGAGATATACCTAATGTTAAATGACGAGTTAATGGGTGCAGCACATCAACATGGCACATGTATACATATGTAACTAACCTGCACATTGTGCACATGTACCCTAAAACTTAAAGTATAAAAAATAATAATAATAAAAAAAAGAATGTTGACTATTGTCCCCCACTTTCTTGTGACTTGTAGAGCTTCTGCTGAGAGATCTGCTGTTAGTCTGATGAACTTCCCTTTGTAGGTGACTTGGCCTTTCTCTGGATGCCCTTAACATTTTTTCCTTCATTTCAACCATGGAGAATCTGATGATTATGTGTCTTGGGGTTGATATCTTGTGTAGTATCTTAGTAATGTTCTTTGTATTTCCTGAATTTGAATGTTGGCCTGTCTTGCTAGGTTGCAGAAATTCTCCTGAGTAATATCTTTAAGTGTGTTTTCCAACTTGGTTCCATTCTCCCCATCTTTTTCAAGTACTCCAATCAATTGTAAGTTTAGTAATTTTACATAGTCCCATATTTCTCGGAGGTTTTATTTCTTCCTTTTCATTATTTTTTTCTCTAATCTTGTCTGCCTGACTTATTTCAGCAAGATGGGCTTCAAACTCTAACACTTTTTCTCCTGCTTGATCGATTCAGCTATTGATACTTGTGTATGCTTCACAAAGTTCTCATGCTGGTTTTTCAGCTCCCTGGGTCATTTAAGTTCCTCTCTAAACTGTTCATTCTAGTTAGAAGCTCCAGAAATATGGAACACTTCACGAATTTAAGTGTCATCCTTGCGCAGGGCCCATGCTAATCTACTCAGTGTCGTTCCAATTATAGTATTTATGCTGCCAAAGCGAGCACCCCTTTCTTTTCTTGACTTTGTGTTTGATATTCTCTTTTTCTCTATTTCAAATGGGAGATCAGAAGTCATTCATTGAGACCATTTATCTTTTGCAATACAAATGTTAAGAGCTATTACTTTTTCTCTGAGTACTGTTTTAGCTACATCACATAAACGTTGCTTTTTAGTGTTTTTATCTCTCAGATCTAAATAGTTTGTATTCAATCTATTGATATATTTATTGAATGATAAATTATTTAAAATTATTTAATTTTAAAACTTTTAAATTTCCAAATATTTAAGTATTTTATTTTGCAATTGACTTCTAATTTAATTAATACATTCAGATAAGAGAGTGATATTTTTCTTCTGACTGAAGACATTCTTTAATATTTCTTATAGTGTAAATCTGCTAGTGAGAAATTATTTCAGATTTCAGATGTCTGGAAATGTGGTATTTTGTCTTCATTTTTGAAATGTATTTTCAGTGGTTATAAAATTTTAAATTGACAGATTGTTTTTTCTTTCAGAACTTTGAAGATATCTTCCCTTTGGGACAGTTAAAGTAGTGTGACAGGTACTAGGAAAATGGTGTGGGTAGCTTTTATTCAGGATTCTCAGGTTCCTGAGTTTGCTACCTTATTTTGGGGCGTAGACATTCATTCTGTTAAATGTAACAGTGGGTAATATCCTGAAGCCAAATGTCAGAGTGAGCTGCTCTTTTTCCTTCTTTGCAATATTCTGTAGCCTGTGAAAATCTAAAGTTACTTCTGAATTTTCTCTGCAACTCTTTCTCACTCCACTTATGTTGGGCACCATCTTCATAAGACACATCAGTTTATTTAAGTAGTGTATAACTAGTTTAAGCCGGAACGAAACTCTTTGACTGCTGACTGCTCAGTATGAGTTGGAGAGGTGGAGCAGAGATGCTAAGCAATTAGAATGAATGCAGTATTATAATGCCCATGACAGTTAATTTTTAAAATATAATTTCAACTCTTATTTTCAATTCTGATGATATAGGTTCAGGTTTGTTAGATGGGTATATTGTGTGATACTGAAGTTTGGGGTACAAATAACCCCATCACTCAGGTAGTAAGCATAGTACCCAATAGGTAGTTTTTCAGAGTTTTGCCCCCTCCTTCCTCCTCGACTCAGGTAGCCCTCTGTCATTCCCGTCTTTATGTCCATGTGTACCAAACACTTAGGTCCCAATTATAAGTGAGAAAATTTGGTGTTTGGTTTTCTGTTCCTGCATTAATTTGCTTAGGATAATAGCCTCCAGCTGCATCCCATGTTGCTGCAAAATAAATTATGTCATTCTTCTTTATGGCTGCATAGTATTCTGTGGTGTATATGTACCAAATTTTCTTTATCCAATCCAATGTTGATGGGAATCTAAGCTGATTCCACATCCTTGCTATTGTGATTGTGAACATCGGTGATGAAAATACAGGTGGAATGATTTAGTTTCCTTTGGATATATACCCAGCAATGATATTGCTAGGTTGAATGATAACTCTATTTTTAGTTCTTTGAGAAATCTTCAACTTGCTTTCCACAGTGGCTGGAGTAATTTACATTCCACCAACAGTGTATAGGTATTCCCTTTCAATGCAGCCTTGCCAGCATCTATAATTGTTTGACTTTTTAGTAATAGCCATTCTGATTGGTGTGAGATGATATCTCATTGTGGTTTTAATTGCATTTCTCTGATGATTAGTGATGTTGAACATTTTTTTCACATGTCTGTTGGCCACTTATATATTTTCTCTTGAGAAATGTTTGTTCATGCCTTTTGTACACTTGTTAAAGGGCTTATTTGTTTTTTTGCTTGTTGAATCGTTTAAGTTTCTTACAGATTCCGGATGTTAGACCTTTATGGGATGCATAGTTTTCTTCCATTCTGTAGGTTGCCTGTTTACTCTGTATAGTTTCTCTTGCTGTGCAAGAGCTCTTGAGATTCATTAGGTCCCATTTGTCGATTTTGGTTTCTGTTGAAATTTCTTTTGAGAACTTAGTCATAAATTCCTTCCCAAAGCCAATGTCCAGAATGATATTTTCTAGGTTTTCTTCTAGGATTCTTATAGATTGAAGTCTTACATTTAAATCTTTAATTCATCTTGAGTTAATTTTTGTATAAAGTTAAAAGTGGAGATCCACTTTCATTCCTCTACATTTGACTAGCCAGCTATCCCAGCACCATTTAATGAATAGGAAATAATTTCCCCATTGCTCACTTTTTGTCAATTTTGTCAAAGATCAGATGGCTGTAGGTGTGTGGCTTTACTTCTGGGTTCTATATCTTATTCCATTGTTCTATGTGTCTACTTTTATATTAGTAAAGAAAAAACCTGTTTGGTTTACTGTAGCCTTATGGTATAATTTGAAGTCAAGTAATATAATGGCTCTGGCTTTGTTATTTTTGCTTAGGATTACTTTGGCTATTTGAGCTCTTTTTTTTTGTTTCCATGTGAATTTTAGAATAGTTTCTTCTAATTCTGTGAAAAATAATGTTGATATTTTGATAGAGATAGCATTAAATCTACAGATCGCTTTGGGTAGTATACTTATTTTCATGATATTGGTTCTTTCAGTCTATGAGGATGGCATGTTTTTCAATTTGTTTGTGTCATCTATGATTTCTTTCAGCAGTGTTTTGTAGTTCTACATGTAGGATCCTTCGCATCCTCAGTTAAATGTATTACTAGCTATTTTTTTCTGGCTGTTTTAAGTTGAATTGCATTCTTGATTTGGCTCCCAGCTTGACTGCTACTGGTACATAGCAACACTACTGATTTTTGTACATTGGTTTTATATCCTGAAACTTTACTGAAGTTGTTTATCAGCTCTAGGAGCCTTTTGGCAGAGTCTTTAAATTTTATATAGAATTATATCATGTCCATGACAGTCTTAATAGGTCTGTTTTTACTGTTTGTTCTGAAACTTAAGTATAGTTTGATTTGGTATAAATGGATCCATTTTCTCCTGCCTAAGTTGCGGGCTATAGTTTCAGTATTAGTGTTTTTTTTTCTTAAAATTTTTATTTCTAGTATACAGAAATTCTTAAAGTTCTCTCTAACAGCATTTTTATTAAATCTTAAAACATATTTTGTATGTTTTTAGGATAACAGTATTCATCATAACAGTTATTAAATAGTAAAGATATAAAATAGATATAAGAATATGAGTAAAACAAAAACCAAGTTTCCAATAGAGAGTGATATTAAAAAAAAGAGAGAGAAACATTTCCCCACATTTGGCCACAGAACATTGTACAGGTATGGTACATTGTGAGTCTGGTGCAATGAATGTGGTAAGTTTAAGTCAGAGATGCCCAAGATTGGTAGAGATGTTCAAAAAGTTTAACAAGGGCTTGTAAGAGAAGAATTGCAGCCATGGAACTGGTGACCACTGGAAGAAATGACAGTAGTGCCCCTAAAACATGGTGGTAACATCCAGCGATGGCAAAGCCAGTTTTAGGAGCAGTGGAACCAGTAGAAGTAACAACGCAAATTAGAAGTGGTATTCAGTGACCACATCAGAGCAGGTGTGAGGTTGCTCTGGGATGATGGTGCTTGGTGAATGGTATGTTGTGAGCAGAAGCATCTGCACAGGTTAGTAAAAATGGCATTGTTGATAACAATCATGCCAGAAGCTGAATCATAAAATTGAATAAGTAGCATGAAACTATAAACAGCATGTACTGCCAGTGAAACTTTGTTCATAATGTGTGAAGCACTCTCTAACCAATTCCTACTAGCATGTAGGAAGATATACCAATAAAATGTTGATTGAAATGTATTTTTTTTCTGTAGAGCCGTAGCCCTCTATCAATTTATTAATGATTTTGAATTGATTACCTGAGTCCTGGCTCAGACCTAAATTGGAAGATTCCATTTCTTTCTCCAAAGTCACCAATCCAGCTCAGATAGGTTTATCAATTTTTCAATAACGTATAAATATGCACTTCAAATTTATACATTTTCTTCCATTTTCTTTTTTGTGAGACAGGATCTCACTCTGCCACCCAGGCTAGAGTGCAGTTGCACAATCATGGCTCATTGCAGACTCGACCTCCCTGCCTCAAGTGATCCTCCCACCTCAGGCCCTATGGTAGCTGGGACTACAGGTACGCATAACTATGCCTAGCGAATTTTTTGTACTGTTTGTAGAGACAGGGTTTCACCATGTTGCCCAGGCTGGCCTCAAATTCCTGGGCTCAAGAAATTCATCTGCCTCGGCGTCCCAGAATGCTAGGATTACAGGTGTGAGCCACTGCACCCAATCCCACACATTTAATTTTCATCAAGGCAATTAAATGTGTTCTCTAAATATGGCTGTAATAGATATAGATATAGGTGTGTGTGTGTGTGTGTGTACATATGTATATATATGGCTGTAGTTTCTTCAACTTTAAGGGAAAAAGAGATGTCTGGTACAACTGAATTCTCTAGGTAAGTGTAATGCTTTCTTGTTCATTTAGGAAAATATTTGGGCAAGAATTAGTTCAAGCCAAACAGATAAAGCTATGGGAGTGTAGCAAATATTACTATTCCACTGACATCTTCTCTTGATTCCTTTATCATTTTCTTACAGTCTGGTACCCAGTGTGTTTTCTGTCCCTACTGCTAGCATCTGCATCTCTTTTTGGAGGAATGCCCTCAGGCTTCTGGAACCCACTTTTCCTACACACTGAAAGCGTCAGAAGTCCTTGGAAATATATATCTTTTTGGGTGCAGTCATGTTTTTATAACTAAAAGGTGCAGGAAAGTAAATTATTTGTCTCCTCTACCCCATTGATGGGTAAAATGCTGAGCTATGAATTGTAGTCTTCAGAGCTTCCCTGAAGTTTGAGGCAGTTACTTTTTGCAACTTTGCTTGATTTAATACCATAATCCAGGATTTCTCTCACACTTTCTGGCTCCCAGAGAACCCTTTGCCCAGTTCTTCTGGACAGAGTTTGGAGTTGTCTTATTGTTTCAGTCTTCTGTGATATTGTGTGGTTCCACGTACCTTGGCCAACTTTGGGATAAAATGACAAGAGAAAATGAAAGAAAAAATAATGAGTATTCACTTCACACTCTGGACAACACAGGTCCTATTTCCTGGTTTCTCTGGTCTCAGAAAATTATTTTCTCAGCATTTTGAGCACCTGATCGTTTTTGCTGTGGTGGTGCAATTCTGTAATTGGTTAGAACCAAATATAGCCAGCCTTGCTTAGAACCAATAAAGAAAAGGGAAAACAACAACAACAAAAAAGAAACAAAACACATAGATTCTCCTTTCAAACTTCCACAGGCACCAATCCTTTTCTTCCCCAATATTATAACTAGAAATACATGGTATCTCTGAGAGTTTTGCTATCAGCTTTTACTGGACAGTTACTGGATTCAGCCCACCCTTGGGTCAAAACAGAGAGGCAAAGTTAGAATGGCCTCTGCCTCCTGAGAAAACTCATACTTACTAGAGTTTAGTACTAAATTTTTGACTTTAGTTCCCAATTTATCTGTTATGATTTTATTGTTTTATATGTTTTAGAGTACTCATATAATTTTAAAATATTTTGTCTACAGTTTCAGTTGTAATCACTGGGAGATGGAAGTTGTACTCACTCCATCTTGACCTAAATTTTCTTTATAGTTTTTATCTTTCTGCTGAAATTATTTAACAGCTCATGCCTTTTGTCCACCTTTCTAGATTTAAAAATATGTTTTTGTGGGTATTTTAAATTCCTTGCTTGACAATTCTTACATCGGAGTCATCATTGAGTTTAGTTGTGTTAATTGCTTTCTCTCTTGCCTTTTTTGTGTGTCTTTTGATTATTTTTAAACTAAATGCCTGATATTGTGTAAAAAACAGTGCTTATGTCCAGAAGCAGGTGCTCCTCATATTGTCTCAGGCTGTTAGCCTATGTGTGTGTGTTGTGGGAGGGTTGAGTGAATCTAATTAGTAATTGAGTTGGATTGATATTTTTCTTGTTGCTATCATTACCTTCAGTCCACTGCAGGCTTCAGATTCCTCCAGTGGTGAACTGCTCTTACTTTGTGCTTAGCGTGGGACTTAGAGACTCTCTCAGAAGTAGTGAAGCATTTCCTGGGCCCAGGGGACAAGGTTTCTTGTTGTTCCTTCTCTCAGTGGCGTAAGTTTTGGCTTTATATGAAAAAGAAGTATCGAGGGAATGGGCAGTGTTTTATGTTTGTTCTAGAGTCAGTCAGACGTGTTCACTACAGGCATGTCTGTGCCACCTAGGGAAGCACTTTTCCTGCCTTGTTTTGAGCACCTGAAAGTGGCCTGTGGAAAATAACTTTTGAGTGGATGTGAACTCCACTCCGCTTTTATTTATTCTTAACTAATAACTTCCTTTTGTGCTTCGTCAAAGGTGAAATGGTTTCTGTGTCCCATCTCTATTTGGAGGGACGTTTCACTCTTTGGAATCCAGTTCACTTAGGTTCTTGTAGCTTCAGATCTCCAATGTTTCCAAAAAGAATTAGGATTTTGTAAATTAAATGTTTTTTTTCTTATTGCGATAATTTTGTTTTCAGCTTCCAACATCTAATGTAGATGGAGAACTCTAATTTTTATTTGAAAATATTACCTTTTGCTGCAGTGAAGAGAATCGATTTTAGTGAGGCAAGTGTAGATTGGAAAAATTAAGTTGGAGGCCTATTATTTTGGATTTATGTTATAAGATGCTATTTTTGAAGGTCTATATATCATAGGAGAGTCAACAATATATATATTTACTTTTAACATTTTTAGATTAAATATTATTCTCCAATAATTAAGAACCATAGTATTGGGGAAACAGATTTAACTTCTCTTCTTGATCTATCATCATAAATTTTTTGTTTCTATCTCTCGATTCAAAATGGCTTTCTTCCTCCTAGTTCATGAATAAATCCTAGCTAACAGGAAGGGAGAAGGACCAGAGGGAATGTAAATACCTTTCATTTTAAAGGCCCAACCCAAAAGTTAGATCTGTTTCTTCTTGCATCTTGGTAGATAGAATTGATTTATGCGACCATACTTAGCTGCAAAGGATACAGAACATTATGGTTTTTAACTGGGAACCAAATACCCTGGAAACTTAATACAGACATAAGACAGAATGGATGCAAGCAGGACACCTTATTAGTCATCACCATGGTCTGTCTTTTCCTGACTAAATATCCATACTCACCCTTTATTCCCCACATGAAAGGTATTCACAAATTATGAAAGGAGAAAATATCAGACAAAAGGTATTCACAAATTATGAAAGGAGGAATTATCAGTGTTCCATATAATATTTGCATTTAGTTTCAAGTCCAAGATGTATTTTCTCATGATCAAGTGACCAATAAACTAAAAAAAAGTTATATGTAGTCTTGAGTCAACTCAATATATAATGATGCAGTAAGAAACATGACAAACTGTATTTTATATTCTATTTCAGAAAGGTAAGAATAGAATACATACAGTTGTCACAGTTACATGTCAATGTTAAAAATCTGCTGTTCAGAAACTCCAGAGACTTTCAGCCTTGAGAGCAGGATACATTTTTTAGACAGAAAAAATAAAAGCTTTTCTTTTTTATTATGCCTCATGGCCCCCATGCTCTCACAATAAAATTTGCTGTCAGGGAGAAACTCTCTCGTGTATTATCCTCTGTGACCATATCTGTAGTGGCATCATGCAGTATGCTGTTAGTGTCCACACACTTTTGATGACTGTTTCTGCTACTGTGGGCTTGGAGATCCAGGGCTGCCTTTAAGAGTCAAATAGACATGGACTTTGACAGGTCAAACTGATGATTTTTTTGGCAACAGAATTTTTCCAAGATCTTATTGGACTTTCACTCTGTATGCTTCCACTCCTTTTCATGTGATAGTAACCACATCAAAAAAGCTTATCTTCACATAGTTCTTAACTCCAAGGATTACACTTTTCAATTTACTGGTCTGTGTATAGCCCATTCACCTCAACTTCCAGTTAATGATACTTACTTTATGGGTATCGTAAACAACAGATTTGTGGGAAGGTAACACCTCTAAACTATGAATAGATATTGGGGATGTTGGAATTTAAAAGGCTTTATCACAGATAACTTTGCAGTAGCTGAGGTGAGAGAGGATGGGGTTTAGAAAAAGTTGGTAGTAGGTGAAATTTAAAGAAGAGGCAAGATTTGATATGTATTTTGGAGGTAAGGCAGATAAAATAGGCTACGGGGTTATATATTGAAAGACAGAGAAAGATAAATTCACAGAAGATGTCTAGGGTTTTGACCAAAACAATTGGTTTGATTGTGACACTATTGACAAAAAAAAGAATGTTTGAGAAAAAGAAATATGTACAATGAGAACCAATGTTATTCTGGAAAATTTCTACTTGGTCCTTGGGTTTTACCACTGTATTCTTTATAAACTTGTTTAACCATACTTTTATTCTTTCTGTTGCACCTTCTGAAAGCATAATTAATTCTAATACGCTATGCTATTTTTTGGTAGTTTTTTGGACTATGGAGTCAAATTTAAGGTATGATGTGCTTTCATCATTTTTTTTTTCAGATTTGAAGTTGAGCTCTTCCTTTTTGTATTTTCTACTCTCATGTGCCAAACACTCACTTCTTGCCTGTGTGGTGATACGAATTTTAAAAGGCCCCTCATTCTGCTATAATCAGCAAGCTAAAACATCCTTTATATGCACAGAATAATTTTGCCTTTTTAATTCCAAAAATGCATGCATGACATTTAATGATGGCACTGAGAAAAGTCAACAGTAGATACGTATAAAATATACTCAGTGTTTTTAGCAGAAATAAGTGAGAACTCATCATTTAGGGACACTCTTCTAAGATCCACCATGGCAGAGTCATTAAAGAATCAGGTATGACATGAAAAAAATGAAGTCTGACTTCATCCCTTGAGAGGTGATCATCTAATCTTCTGTTGTCTTCTAACTTTCTTTCCTTCCTGCATTCCAGAAAAACACAAGAAATCTTCGGGAATCTTTTATAAAAATACGGATTAAATTAATCATATAGTCATTAAACAACAGGTGAAAATACCCTTTATAAAAGATTGGTAGGGTGTTTTATATTATTTCATCAAGATCCTTAACAGTGTTTAACAATTAGAGAGAACATAAATAATCACTAATTGTGCACAATACACTGCAGCAAAATAAGAGACTGGTTATAGCTCTATTTTTTAAACATTTTTTTCTTTAATGACTTCAAATGGTACTGAAAACTATTTCATAAGTGAATATTACTTCTTCTATCAAATAGTAAAATAAATGGCCTATAAAGAGAACCAAAAAGAATAAAAGGAAAGTTACAAAATACGGGAAGAGTTGCTTGTGTCAGTTTAGATTTTGAACTACAGAGTTCCCAGCCTAAGCCTTTATAAAATGGCTTTAGACACTGCGCTATTAAAAAATGTGTTTTCCCTAGAGTAATAGCTATGATGTTCATCTTATCTACTAAATAATTCTAAGAATGATTATTTTGGTATTTTCATGAAGCACTTTGCATTTTTTCTTGGTTTATCCTTAGGAGTAATAATTCTCCTTACCACGGTAGGATTTTCCTTTATAGTTGCTTATACTTCTCTCTTCAGATAGTTCCTTAAAAACAGTCTAATAAAATGCCTATTACTACCACGGAAAGCAAATGTAAGCCTTATTCACCAGACATAATATTTTTCCCAGTGATAGTGTTTATATTAAAAACAAACTCCAAAGTGTTTGATGAATCTCTATATAAGAAAAAAATGATCCTTTGGGAACACAGAAAAAACTAGAGCTTCAATTTGTGTTAATTATGTAATCTGAAAATAAGAAATAATTAAGCTGTACTAACAATATCTATATTGACATGGGAAACTTTATTATAGAAATATGTTCATTTTGTTGCACAAATGAGGCATTTGTGATTAACGTGTGTTTTCTTATTTTTTTATATTGGCAAATTAAATTCAGCCTGGTAGAATTATCAGAACAGGAAGAAGTAGGTGGCAGAAATAAAACATGATGTCATCAAATTAGATAATAATGTTAGATTTTTAAAAACTAGAGTATTATATAAGAGTATGGGATGATAACAGTGATTGAACATGGTCCTATGAATAAATTATTTTTATCCTGCTGTCTCAATTTTTAAAAAATGGCTCTGATCTCATATTTCTAACTCTAAGATGTTGAAGCTAAATCCTTGCTTGGATTTAAAATCAGGTAACATATTTTTATTATATAACCAGCATTTTTGATACATTAAAATGGTGTCTAATATACAAAATAAGCATTCACTTACAACTTTACCCTTGCAACAAAGCAAACTTTGTTTTATGTGCTCCTTTTGTCTTACTATATAAGGCTACATACGTTTTTATATTTGATACACTTTTTTATTTTATTCATTTTTAAACCAAATTTTACATTATAATGTTGTTTGGAGGGAAAAAAAGAAGAAAGAGAAGTTCCTCCAGATATTTCAGAGATACAGAAATTTTTGGTATAGTCAAAATTGGAGAAGTCGTTTGGAATTTAAAGAAACCTTCATTCCATGTTACTTATTTTTTCACTTAGAAGATGTCTGCTCCAAGTCTACTATCCTACAATTATTGAGCAACAGATTAAGGATATAACAATAAGAGAGATTCATAAATTTGAGAGTAATGCTTCATTTGTCCAAAAGTCTTTTGCAGGATACATTGGTTAAAGCATGAGAAACTTTGCAAAAGTTTTACTACATAGAATCTATGAAAAAATGATTGGAAGGCAGGATGAGTCCATAAAATCCCTGTTGGAAAGGATTATTTCACTGGAGGAAATTATTTAATAGTTTATAGAAGTTTGGCACTCCAGGGACCTTGGAGGTCATGGAGCCCTTGACAGACATCTAGGAAGTGACAAATATAAGCAGCTGTGTAGAGAGACTCTGTCTCAAGAGGGATTAGATTTATAGCAACTAAAAGAGACTCAGAACTACAAGATTTCAGAGAAAGAAACCTGGAAGAAATTAAGTTCCCTCTGACAGATAAAGCAACAGAGAAAGGATTTTATTTGCACAGGATTTTAGAACACTGGAAATAGTTTGGCACTAGCTGAGTCCACATCAATTTCCTGTCCGATAAGACAGAGATCATTTGACATTAACTCCATCAATATCTTTTCTATCACAAAATCTGCCTGTGGCGTCTTCCTTTGTTCTTGTTTTATCGAAAATAATATTTCTGTTCTAACTTCTCTCCACTCGTGTTGTTGCCTTTTTTCTTCCTGTCTTTGCAAAGATGGAGATTTAGGAATCGTTTCTATCTTTCCTTGCAAGCTCCAAATCACTTTTCAACACTCTGCTAAACATCTTCACCTGTAAGTTTCACTAGTAGCTCAAATTGGGATGTTTGAAATAAAGCTCATCATCTTCCTCACAACCTCAAATCGATTTTTCACTAGACGCTTCTCTTTCTGAGAACATAGCATTACTTGAACAGCCACTTTCCCAAAGAAGGAATCCAAATAGCTAATAATCATATAAACAGTGCTAATACATGTTATTAATAATTAATGAAATGTGACAACATCCTAATATTGACATGTTAAGATAGCTCAAATTAAATATCAGCAAGGTCTAATTGAACAAAAATTAATGACAACTCTCATATGAGCTGGTAGGAGTATAAATTGATATGGGTTTGAAAAATAGTTTGATATTATAAGGTAGTTACTCTTGGCACCATTCACAACTTTTGACCCAGAAATTACACTCCCATGCTTATACCCAACAGGAACTCGTGATAATATGCTTGACAAAAATTATTACAAGAAGGTTTATTGCAGCATAAGTCATAGCTCCAAAGAAGAGTGGATAAATATATTGTGGTATATTCATGCAAAATAATACTATCCATCAGTGGAAGCAAATAAACTGCATAGCACAGATGAGTCTCACATAGCATAGGTGGCATAGCACAGACGAGTCTTTATGCCATAGCATAGATGAGTCTCACAAACATGATATTAAGTAATGGAAATCAGATGCAAAAGATTAGGTACTGTGTATTTCCATTTATATGTAAAGTTGTAAGTACTTAAAACCTAAAAGTTAGTAGAAATTCAATGAATTTTAATTATATAGCTGAATAAATGAATGCTCTCCCCTAAGCCTATAATATTCGTTTGCTTTGTCTAGTCTTCCCTTACACATACTTCAAGCCCCAAATCATAGCTTAAAGACAAGACTTTTTTCATCTTTATGCTCTTAGACCTTATAATTTCTGTCACAGAATTTATCACCATGTTATAAGTATCTTTTTACAAGATCATTTGGTTAATTTATCTTTGTATTTTTCATCTTGTCCTCTCCCACCCACTATTTTCTAACATGTAGACTGTGACATGGACCTGTGTAACAATGCGATTGGTTGTTGAAATAATAAATGTTATTTAGCCTGAGTATTTGATGTCCTCAATAATATAGCTTTCAAATGCTATCTACTATTACATTTATATTTCCATTAATTCAAGTGCTTTTTTATGTGAAAATATAGAACAATGTATTTTCATTTAATTATTTTATTGATGCTTTTTTCTCTTTCTCTCTACTAATACCTTTCAAACTTATCTTAATTAATTAGTTAAGAGATCCCTTGATCTCTTAAATAAAATATGATTTCTCCCTACCTGATAAAATGCTTGTCACACTTTCTATTTGATTTATATAAAAGTAATGTTAATTGCAGCAGTATTCACAATTGCAAAGACATGAATTTACCTAGGTAACAAACCTGCACTTGTACCTCTGAACTTAAAATAAAAGTAAAAAAAAAAGGAATTGTATATCTTTCTTATACTTCATGTTGGACTCTAAACTGCTTAAGGCTTGGGACAATTTATTAATGATTCCTTTATCCCTTTATTGCCTAACTCTGCATGTTTCACATGGCAGGAATTTAGTAGAACTAAACTGAATTTCGCTGAATTAAATTAGCTAAGTATGCCCTGTACTGAAATATTGTTACATAGTACAAATTAAAATGTGAGGTAAGAAGATGTTAAGATCTAAGAAGCAATATCAAGCAGTAAAATCTGGTGAGTTTGAATTTAAAAATTCAACTTAATATATATTCATTTCTAAATGAATAAAAGATGTTCTGCTCAATGTTGAAAGGCAGTACTTCCCAAATTATCTATAATGATGGACTAGGCTATTTAAACTCCAATTTATTGTAGAGTAATTCTTTCAAAACACAGTAAAATGGATTAAAAGAAAATGTAAAAGCCAAATTATATGAAATGCAAGTCTAAATTTTATTAGTAGATACAACAGATACAATATTTGAATTAAGTAAAAACAAAGACATCATATATAGGCAAGTACAAGAGTTGTAAAACTGTGGCTACTATGTGCTGAAAACCTGTGTATAGGTGATTAGCATAGTTAATTTTATATTATAACTTTTTGTTCCACACATATAAATAAATGAGTGATATAGCAATTGCTCAAATTAAATGCTTATGTAAGACACTTTGAATAAATACTGCTTATATCCATATTTAAATTTTTTTGTATCAAATGAGATTTTTTGTTGCTGTATTTAATTTATCTAATCTAAATTACATAAATAACAGTGCTACATGTGTTGCAAATATACATAAATAAACATGTTTTTCATTTCATTTTAATGAAAAAGAAACCCATCTCACAAAATTATGTTGTAAGGACTTAAAGAGATTTTAATGCAATTCCATGAACCTCATAATGTTGGGTTTTGTTTTTCTACAAAATGAAGCAAAGGGACTTCATTTTGAAATGATTGAATTCACTTTCAATCCTTCATTAGAAGCCAGTTCAGTAATTTAATTTTAATATTACAGTTTAATTTAAAATCAACTTTTGATGAAAGAGACAGATTCTGTATTTGTGAATCTCATGTGTGAATCTTCTTTCTTCTTCCTCTTTGTAAAAATATTACTACAATAAAATGAAAAAGACAGAAAAACCCACAAAACCAATGTATAAAGAATTGTTAGAAGGGAAATAACCACCAGTTCATACAATAAAGCATTGTCAAGTGCCCCAGAAGCCCTTCTAAATGTCCTAATCCAGAATAAATTCTTCTCTCTTTCCAAAACAACTTAATCCTTTTAAGTTACAATAATTTCCTACTAAAAAAAGTTTTATTACACAAATGCACATCACTAGACAATATCACTTAATCATGTCAATTTTTACAAACTGATATATTTTTTGTCTTATTCAGTGTATCCGTCATCTCTTTGTCTTACAATTTATCTCTTGAAGGACCCTGGTGTTTGACCTAGAAAGTTTTCCACTGTCTGGATTTTGCTGGCTGCACAGTCACAGTGCATTTCAATATGATTCTCTGTCTTTTGTGTTTTCTAAAAGTTGGCAACTGGATCCAGAAGTTTAATCAGACTCAGATCCTTTTGTCAAGACTAAAGGGCATGTTGGGCAAGACTACAGGTAACATAAAAAGTCCGGCCACCTCCCTATTTGTAACGTTAGCATTACAACATTTGTAATGTTGAGGCTTAATGTGCAGATTTACTAATTCATTGTGGAAGGGGTTATAAAATGGTGGTATTATAATTCTACCATTTCTTTTCCAATCATTATATTTTCATAAAGATGTGCTTTTATTTCATTATGTGATAATACAATTTATAAAGGAAAAGGAGGTTAAAAACTATCATTTCCCATTATTCCTCAGCTTTCAAGATGATGGATAAATTTCTTATTATCCTCTAAAATTGATAATTTTGTTTTTTCATAAAAATACTATGGGCTCATAGATTTAAGCAAGTTTTATGGGTAACAATCCATTGCAATTGTTATCATTGTTGAAGCTCAAGTTATTCAATTTTTTAACAGTGATAGTCTCTCTAATTTAGCTTGTAATTTTATTTCAAATGAGGTTGGCAGTTTTGACAGCTGATTCTTCTTCATGATCTGGCATGACAAAATATTATTGCACCATCTTTTACATTTCCTGCCCTAGACCTTAATTAGCTATTTTTTCAAGAGCTCTATATATTTAACTTAAAAATGGTATTTTAATATTTTTAGATGGTAGCCTTTTATTATTAAAAGGCTGTATCTGAACTTTCTAAGATGACAGAGATGTTAAAAATTATCTATGTAGCTAGCTAGCTATCAAAATTAATAATTTTATATTGTCAATTTAGTTTGACTTTTTAATGGACTCATACAGTATTTACTGTGTCTAGCTTTTTTTCCCTCAGAATACTGGTTTTGAGATTTTTCCATGTTGTCATATGTATTAGTCAATTTCTTTTTATTGAGGATTAGGATTTTACTTTATAGTATGCTATAGTTTAAGGTTTGTTCATCTGATGATGGACAATTGAGTTAAGCTTTTCTTATTATAAACAAAGCTGAAATAACCATGTATGTACAAACCTTTGTATGGGTATATACTTTTATATCCCTAAAAGTAAAATAGCTGGTTATATGGCAGACATATGTTTAACTCTTTAAGAAATGGCTGAAATATATTATAAAGTGGTTGCAATACTTTACATTCAAATTCACAGTGTATGAAAATCTGAGTTTTTCTACATCTTCATCAACACTTGATTTTGTTAGTCTTCAATTTTAGTCTTTTAATTGTTCTTCACTAACTGTATATAGTATTTTATATATAATATTAATATTATATAGTATTAATATAATATAATATTAATGTTATATAGTATTAATATAATATTAATGTTATATAGTATTTTATATATATAGTTGTATATAGTATTTCAATTTTAGTCTTTTAATTGACTGCTCTTCACTAGATTGTATATAGTATTTTAAGTCTTGGAAATCGAAAATGCTACCTTGTGGTAAGTCCTGAAAGAATAATTGTTTCTTTCATAGTGGATTCTTTTGATTTTTACCTTATTTCTTTATGCTTTATATGTACATCTAATTTAAATCATGATGGCTTCCTTGCTTCATTAGGCAGCATATTACTCTAAACGCCACCCAGTTATTTATCACTGTATCATTAAATATAATTTAAAAACTTAACTCGGTATATAAAAAATCAATATTTCAGGTTTCTAGGAATATAAATGATCCATAGTATAAGCCTCGGCCAACATGTAGGAAGAGGCAGATGAAAAATATTGAGGCGCCATCAACATGAAAATAGCCAACCATTCAGCTGTAATTTACATCTCAGCTAATATGGGTGAATGAAGAGAAGGCATTTGAGGTGTCTGGTATATAGTGTATGGCCAAAAATAATCCTGTAATGATCTGGAGAATTAGGCAGGTGCCAAGAAGCGAGCCATAGTTGCATCATGTAGTAATATTAGATGGTGTGGGAAGATCAATGAATGAATAGTTAATAATTTTTTATTAGTGGATGTGTTTTGCGGGTGTTGGTCATTAGTGTTTTTATAGTTGATATACAACTATGGTTTTTCATATTATTAGTCATGGTTATAATCCATGTGGGAATAATGGCTTATGCTTTATTTTTATTGAGTATTCTTTTGGTTATAGGGTTTGTAGGTTTTTCTTCAAAATCTTCTCCTCTTTGTGGAGGCCTGGGGCTAATTGTTGGTGGTGCTGTGGACTGTGGCATCGTGTTGAATCTTGGTAGAGCTTTTGTGGGTTTAATAGTCTTTTTGATTTATTTGGGTGGTATGATGGTTGTTTTTGGTTATACTGCGGCAATGGCTATTGAGGAGTATCCTGAAACATGAGGGTCAAGTATTGACATTTGAGGGGCTTTATTATTAGGGTTATTAATAGAGTTGCTGTTGGTTTGGTGAATAGTTGAGTGCGATGGGGTAGGGATCACCATTGATTTTAAAAGCATAGGGAGCTGAATAAATTTTGAGGGTGAGGGGGCAGGGTTGTTGCATGAGGATTCTGTGGGTGTGGCTGCCTTATATAGTTACGGGTGTTGATTAGTGGTAGTTGCTGGTTGATCACTGTTTGTTAGTATTTATGTTGCAATTGAAATTGCTCGGGGTAATAGATTAGATAATTAATAGTAGGGTTAGAATGGATGGAATAAAAAAAGAGAGAAAATAGAGTTTAATTAGGCCTTTCTGAGTAGATACGGTAATGGAGGCTGAAATTTGGGTTTGTGAAACGGTCGGTCCTTGGTATAGATTTTTCTAGTCAAATTAGGTCTAGTAGAAGTGAAGCCAGATTTTGGCTTGTGGACAGGCTTGAGTGGGGGGTTGAACAGTGAATTGTGGCTGAATAAAAACCTAGTATGTTGGAGAAATTGAATATCTGTAATGGGTGCTTTAGTTTAAGGTTATTAGTTATGAGATTAAACTCCATTGTTAATAAGAGCCCTAAGGTGGTCACACCTAGGGCTGTGAGTTTTAGATGGAGTGGTATAGCTGTTGGGGGAGCTGAAGTAGGAATAATACCGTTGAGCATAAGGAATCCAGGGAAGATACTGCCAATTGTTAGGCATTTAATTGAGTTAATTAGGAAGGGATTATTTTCGTTAATAATAATCAGAACTGAGAAGCGAGGTTGCCCTATCAGAGTGAAGAAAATAATTTGGGTACTATAAACAGGTGTCAATGAGGTGGTGATAAGAATAATAGAAAGGGCTCAGGTGTTGGTCTATGACATAGTTACTCTAAAGACCTTCGATAATAAGGTCTTTAGAGTAAAAGCCTGTGAGGAAAACACACCTGTAAGTGAGAGGCTACCAATAATAAGGGAGGAGGAAGTGAAAGGTAAAGTCTTGAATAACCCTCCTATTTTTCAAATGTCTTGTTCATCATTGAGATTATGGGTGATGGACCCTGAATATATAAATAATATAGCTTTAAAAAGGCATGGGTGCAGATGTGAAGGAATGTTACGTGTGGCTGATTAATGACAACTGTGACTATTATAAGGCCCAGCTGGCTTGAGGTGGAAAATGCTACCATTTTTTTGATATCATTTTGTTTTAAAGGGCAGATCGCTGTAAATAAGATGGTAATAGCCCCTAGGAATAATGTAAAGGTTTGCATTAATGGGTTATTTTCTATTAAAGGGTAGAAGTGGATGAGCAGGAAAACTTCTGCAACTATAGTGCTAGAGTGGAGTAGAGCTGAGACTGCGGTTGGGCCTTATACAGCAGATGGAAGTCAGGGATGGAGACTGAATTGAGCTGACTTTCCTGCTGCTGCTAAGAGTAGGCTAATTAATGTAAGGGAGTCATGGATAAGATTTAGAATAAATGCTTGTTGAAAGTCTCATGTGTTGGAGAATAAGAGGAATCATGCTATAGCTAAAATAAAGCCAATACCGCTGATGCGGTTGTACAGAATTGCTTGGAGGGCTGCTGTATTAGCATCTGCTCGGCCGTGCCATCAGCTAATTAGTAAAAAAGATATAATTCCTACACCTTCTCATACGATAAAGAGCTGAAAGAGATTGTTGACAGTAACCAGAATTAATATCGTGATGAGGATAAGTAGGTATTTGAAAAATTGATTAATGTTAGGATCTGAATTTATATATCATATTGAAAAGTCTTCAATAGATCAGGTAATGAATAATGTTACTGCGATAAATATTGTGGAGAAGTAGTATAGTTTTAAGCTTAGTGAAAGTTTAAGAGTTTGGATTGTCATTCAATGTCAGTTTGAGATAATAACTTCTTGATCTGTACATATAAACATTGTAGTGATGAGGCTAATGATGAAGGCGCATGCAATAGATATTTTTAGGTAAAATGGGTATGAACCTTTTTTTGCAGGGATTGGCTAAGGTAGTAATAGTCGGTAAGATTAAGGGAATTAGGGCTATTACAGTAGTGGAAAAATACATGTTTGTTACTTTTATTTGGAGTTGCATCAGTGTTTTTGGTTCCTAAGACCAAAGGATGACTCTAATCCTTCAAAAGTTGAGAGAGCCATGTTGTTAGGCATTGGTGCATGACTTAGCAATTCTTGCATACTTTCTCTGTAGATAAGAAGTTGCATGCTTCTATTATTAGATTCACATCTAATGTTTTGGTTAAACTATAGCTACCGCATGAAAATCACATAAAAATTTTAGGGTATAAGGATAATAGGAAGATAGGTGCAAAATGTGTAAATATTAATGTATTTTCTCATGTAAAGGAAGGTTTCATACTGTTAAAATAATATGTAAGTGTCCCTTGTTGTGTTGTGATTAGCATATGCAGGACGTAAAGGGCTGTAATTAGTATATTAAGTCCTATAAGCACTGTAGTGATATTTGATTAGGAGAATGAAACTCTAGTTTCAAAGAGTTCTCCTCTTAGATTAATGGTAGGGGGTAGGGCAAGGTTGGTGAGATTTGCTAGAAGTCATCAAGAGGCTATTAGTGGAAGCAGAGTTTGAAGGATATTTGTTTTTATATCTCTGATGTGAAAAGACCGTGATCATGATTGGGTAATCTGAAAAATCTGGAGTACTTTATATTATTCTAAGTAGCCTTGTTTTAACATTTTATAGATATACAAAAGAAACCTAAATAGTTGTCCCTCAATATCTCTCAGAGTATTGAAGTGAGCCTTTTTCCTACTTTATTTCTGTAAACTTTTGTGGGACCATAAATTTAAGAGTATTCTACGTATATGCCATGTGAAATTCTAAATAAAGCCACTGAGAGGAGCTCTAACCTAGAAAATAGATTTCGTAAGCTCTGTTCCATCTCTTAGTTTGGAGAAGTTAACGAGAATTTGTTTTAAAACTTCAGTTTTAAGTTTTATTCATGAGAGGGCTGAAGAATACAGTCTTCCTTAAATTTATAACAATACTCAACTTTGCTCTGTCATACATTTTCTGTAGTTTTGAGTATTCTGAAATGAAAATGAATTGATGTTAATGTATACTTGTATATATGTTAGGTTATGAAAACTGTGAAAACATAGATAAAGAAATATTGCAGCAAGTTGTTGGCTCCTCAGTGGGAATTTTGGCATTCTATGTTCCTGAAGCTTGCATTTCAGATGTGATGTAGAACCTCTCAATGCTCATTAATTGCTACCCACTCTTGGTGATTCATTTTTGGAACAAATAATCAGAACAAATCTAAAATGTATTTTTAATGGCTTTAAAAATGTAAAAAATAAAAGTGAATGACTTAAAATGTCATTTAAAATTATTAAAATGTCAACAAGTATAATATTAATTAAAAATAAAATTTGATTATTGTCATAAAATTTGCTGTTAGAGAAAAGGTCTAAATTTTAACTTTCCTGTTTACAAAATCAGGTTTTATTATTAATTTCTAACGATGGAAACTCAAATAGACTTTTCTCAATTTGGCAGGGAGGAATATTAGTTGAACAATACAGTAATTTGGAAGATTAAACTTTACTTTTGAAGCAAATTTTCCAAGAGACACAGACTGTATGTTTCTAAGAAACCAAGCCTTTCATGATTTACTTTTCATTCTCATAGGTAAATATCTATCCACTTTTTTTTTCAGCGAGATTAGGACTGATATACTTCTTCCTTGAAAAATTATCTCATGCAATCACCAAGTATAACTCAACACATTCTATGGATCCAAATCTGTGTAAATGTTCTTGAGCCTTAATGTGCAGACTCTAGGACTTTGTGAATTTGGGTTGGAGAATCTCAACTAATGTAGTCACATGAACAACATATTGTGGTGGAAAATTAAGATTCTTCATTGGCAATTCAAATTGCAGAGGTTTCATAGCTGTTAGTACTTTCATGAGTTGTGAATACATAGTGGTTGTTGGGTGACTGTCTGTCTCTCTTGAAGTGCTGAGAGGAGGCCTTAGTTAGCGCTAACATGACTAATTAGGTGACATTCTGTCTTCCTGAAGCTTGCATTTCACAAGTGATGTAGAACCTCTCAATGCTCATTAATTGCTACCCACTCCTGGTGATTCATTTTGGAACAAATAATCAGAACAAATATAAAATGTATTTTTAATGGCTTTAAAAATGTAAAAGATAAAAGTGAATTACTTATTTGCACAGGCATTTATAATTTATTTTTTTAATTTTTGTTTGAAAGGGAAAAAAGTTGAAACAAATCAGAGATTCAAATGTAGAAACCTAACTGCTACTGCTTCAATATGATCCTAAGAACAAGACACCAGAAACTTTTAGGTATGTCTCAGAAGAAGAAGAAGTGAAAAGTATACATCAGAGTTGCTTAAAGAAGAATCATTTCCTAGAGTGGGCACCGCCTCACACTATTTTCTTCTGTCAACTCTCGGAGATGCTTGTTTTGCAAAACCAAGCCTCCATCAAGAAACTAAGTACTAAACTGCTTGTGGAATAAAGGGTTTAGTTTTCAAACATTGGCATTCTGGAAAAGCATGGTGGTCACTTGTTGGAATAAATGCTGGGCAAGACAATCAATATTATTTTCCATATAAGTAGTAGTCCTCCAAGTGGGGTGGGATTTTACATTCTTTTGTCTTACAAATATTTATTTCTTATATGTTCCAGGTAGTCTTCCAGGTGCTAAACATACAATGGTGAATGAAATTGAATTATATTGCACATAATATTAGATAATAGGGTAGATTAATTACAAAATGGCTCTAATCTTTCACCCAATGCTTCAAAGATAGTGTGACTTTAAAGCTCTTCCTTTAAGGAAGTGGAATCTATTTCTCATTTCTTGACTCTTGGCTGTCCTGTGAACTGCTTTGGCAAATAGATATAGTGAAAGTGATGTGTGGGTTTCAGACTTAGGCCTCAAGATTCCCTGTGTGCTTCTGCCCTTTCTCAGAACCCTGGCACTTCCATGAAGAGAAAGCTAGGATAAGACTATCCTAGGCTCCATGATAAGAGACCATTTGGTAAAGCAGCAAGTCATCCCAACCCTTCTGATGAAGCCATACTAGAGCAGATATTAGTCAGCCCACTCGCAAACATATTAGAGAGCTGAGCAAATATTAGCAGAACTACAGACCTCTATCTAACCTAAGATACATATTTGAGCCCAGGCAAGACAGTAAAACCTGCCCAACCAACTTTAGATGTGACTTTGAAGTGGTTTTCTTACACTGCAAAAACTGATACAGATGGTATACTTTCTTTCAGAAAATATGTATTAGTAAAAGAAATATATATAAAATACTTTTATTTAGAATTGGTTTTATATAGAATATATACAATATATAAAATGCTTGTGTATGCAAATAGATGAAAACATGTTGGAGAATATTTCGCTGATGTAATAATTTAAGGAAAATGGGGAAGATGTGTAAAAATTAAAAGATATTTGCTAAAGATTAATGAGTGAATAATGCAATTAACTAACTTTATTTTAAGCATTATAAAATTAATATTAAGGAAAAGTATAATAATAATATACATTTTTATATGGATAGAAGTTTTCTTTAAATAAAAAGACTATGAATCCCTTGTATTGACTTAAAGAAAACTATTTTCTCAGCAGTAGACAAGGATCTCCTGAGAGAGCTATTCTGCCCTTAATTTCCGCCAATATGAACATTTATTTGGGAATGTTTAAATCAGAAAAAAACTTGAAATAAAGTGAATTTTGGAATTAATATTATTGGTGTCAGGGAATATTTGGCCCCATTTAATAAGCTTCTTAGCTTTGGAATTATAGAAAAATGCTCAAAACAACAAAAAAATTCACATGAACCATGGAATGAAATTCAAATAAGAGAAATGACTCCAGTTAGGTAGTAGGATTCTAAGAAATAAAATTTCATTATAAGTAATTTTGCTAATCACTATTAAAGGTGATGATGTAATTCTGATCTAGACATAAAACACAGCAAAAAGACTTTCAGTCTCAACTTCAGTCTTACTGCAACTTCCAGAATAAAAATTGCTAAAATATTTTCTCTTTGCTGTGAGGTTCTTAAATGTTGTGACACATGTGTTCTCTATTTTTCAGGGGCATAAAGAGGGGAGCTTACTGCTAACTGCTTCCTAGAATATTTGGGAATAAGCTTGTACTCTTGTATTTTTTCTACTACCCCAGGATTTCCCATCGTGAGGTAGGCTATGGTTTGTGTATACAAATAAGAGGTAGTATTTCTGAGACATGTGAGTCCCTCTTAGTCTATATGACTCCACTAGACATTATCCTTGTTAGAATATTCTATATTAGAATTATGGAATAGTAGACCTAGAAATAATTTTAAGGATATGCTAATCTCAGGTCTTCACGTAAAACAAAGGCCTTTAACTTTTTCTATAATATATAGATAGTGTGTGTATATGTACACCAAGATTTTATTCTTTGGTTACTTAAATATGTGATTTGCAGAATTATTTTTAACAGCGTGTTCGTATAATGATTTAAGTGGAAGAGTAAAATATAGTTTTATATGTACATTTTCTTTTAGTTGTTTATCATTTCTTTTTTACAACAAATTTCTACTGAGCACTAAATTTGGTTATCATGGCAGTGACAGATGGAAAAGAGGCATTCCCTAGCTAATTACAAAGGCTGTCCAGGTGCAGCAGCCAGAGCCATAAGAAACAGACAGCTGTACACTTTACTCATCTGTCAGGAATATTAATAGAGGTAACAAAATATGTTTATATAAAACAAGGGTATAACTGAGCTATAACAAATATCAGTATTTCCCCTCTGAGTGGCACTCCAGGATGACATGTCATAGAAAACTGACAAATGATTTCTGCTCACCTTTCTATATTATTAACCTGTACCTCTTATTTGGTTCCTCTGTGCTAGAGCCAAATCTTATGTAACTGGAATAATTGGGGAATAGTTTAATCTGATTAGTTTAAAATACATTTCAAGCATCATATTTCCAAGAATTTGTATTCTTAACATATTTCAAATTAAAATGTTTCAGAATGTATTATTTTATACAGTTTGTAAACAAAATAGAGAAATTAACTGATCTTATCTGATTCAGTAATTATAATTTGTTGTGTTTCTGATCAACTTCACATTTAGTAATTTAAACTTTTGAAAATAAAAATTATAACTTGTATGGTCAGTTATCTAATCTCGCTGAAATGTAGGAAGAAAATGATTTCATGTTTTTAAGAGACTTAATTTCTGAGCAGTATAATTTATTTTTATATAATTTTTGTTATCATTTTCTTTATATTTTGATGGCATAGAATAAGAAAATGTCAAATATGACTTTGCCTACACTATTTTATTATTTTGAAAGTAAAGATAAGTATTTCATATGGTGAGAAACTCATCTTTATTTAGCAGTATTTTCATTTTCACAATAACACTGAATACAAAAGTAAAGATGCTTTCCAGAATACATATAGAAGTCTCTTTTCATCTTCAGTAGAAAAAAATATGCCCAGTATGGTCAAACTGTAAAAAATTCTAAATAAATTTTTTTTTCTGAAATTCAGCAACATTTTTTATAAACAAGTAAGTGGATACTAAAGGTGGTAGTAAATAAAGACTTTTAAAAATGACCTATCTTAGAGAACTTTTATATTAATTTATACATGCTAAATGATTAAAGACTATATTAAATTAATATAATAATTTTAGATTTTAAATGTGTGGATGTTTCTAAATATGAAAAATAATCATATCATAAACTGAAAAGATTTAGAAATGTAAACACAAACAACAATTCTTGCTTATCAATTCTCAACCAAATAATTTAAATCTACCATTCACACTCATTTGTAAATACATTAATCCATTCTCATGCTGCTAATACAGACATATCTCAGACCAGGCAATTTATAAAGGAAAGAGGTTTAATTGGCTCACAGTTCAGCATGGTTGGGGAGACCTCAGAAAACTTACCATCATGATGGAAAGGGAAGCAAACACGTCCTTCTCATAGCAACAGGAAGGAGAAGTGCCAAGCAAAAGGGGGAAAAGCCCCTTATAAAACCATCAGCTGTTGTGAGAAGTCACTCACCATCACAAGAACTGCAGCATGAGGGTAACATCCCCTATAATTCAATTACCTCCCACTGGGTCCCTCCCACAACACATGGGCATTATGTGACCTACAATTCAAGGTAAGATTTGGGTGGAGACACAGTGAAACCATATCAGTTAATGACTTTTGTTTCAAAAAACACATGTCGTTTCATAAAATGAAATGGATTTGAATGAGCTGTTTTGCAATCTGTACCACTATGTTTGTGCCTTTGAGAAAGAAAGCATGCCCTGATATCCAGGATCTGGCCTTTTTCTATCAGCTGGGCCTTGTTGCTGATATGAGCTGGCCTTCTATTCAGAGATGTGCCTTGGTGTTCTGTTAAACATAAACAATTTCACAAAATATCAACATCAGATAAGGCCATTCTATGATCTGACGGGTCAAGACAAAAACATTCCATAATCATATCTGAACACAGACAACACGTGGCCATTGCCTCTGCCACAAAGGACCAACTATTCCCCCACTCATAACTAGTGTGAGTGACTGTTGCTTTACTAACTACAGTTTTAAAATTGTTCTGGGCTGGGCGTGGTGGCTGACACCTGTAATCCCAGCACTTTGGGAGGCTCAGGCGGGCAGATCACAAGGTCAGGAGATCGAGACCATCCTGGCTAACACAATGAAACCCTGTCTCTACTAAAAATACAAAAAAAAAATTAGCTGGGCGTGGTGTCACGTGCCTATAGTCCCAGCTACTTGGGGTGCTGAGGCAGGAGAATCGCTTGAACCTGAGAAGTGGAGGTTGCAGTGAGCTGAGATTGTGCCACTGCACTCCAGCCTGGACGACACAGTGAGATTCCGCCTAAAAAAAAAAAATTGTTCTAGTCTACCGCCCTCCTAGCTAAGATTTATTCAAATATGCAGTCATAATATTACTCCTGCTTCCTGATAGCATTTCGTCCAGAGCAAAGTGTGCTTCTTGAAATATTTCCCAAAATTACCTAACACATACCCAAATTTTATAACCAGTCCTTTCTAACACACTGTTGCTTTGATGGCCCACGGTTTTTCACGGTGTGTCTTCTCCTTTGCTTCAAGGAGCAATAATCACAACTTGTTCAAATACAAGTGTGTTCCTAGTGGTCTTTGGATAGAGGGCATTGACACCCTGACTAGATCACCAAGATACCTGAATACATGCAAATGATTGTATAGCCACCTACCCCAAATTCCATTTTAATTTATTCACTATGTATTTTTGTTAACTAAAAAAATAAGTGACAGTAACCTTTCGAAATTATTTTATTGTTCTTACAGTGTGTTTCTGTGGATCAGTCACTACTCAGATGTTAAACTCCTCGTTGTGGTTTCTCCAGACAAATCCATTGAAATACGTTTGTAAGAGATCTTGTTGGTCTCTGAACACATTAGCCCAGTTCACCTGGAGGTTTTCAGTAGACAGTTCCTACACACAGCAATAGCTTCCTGCGTCTTCCTGCCTGAGGGTGTTCTTCTTCCACTAGATAATGCCCAGGGAGTCCCAGAGCTGTCTGGAGGGGCTGGGTAGAGGTGGGCTATTAGTGCAAAGATGCAACCTCCCACAAACGACGGATGGGAGCTGGTAGGTGATCACAACTTTTTCTCCTTCATTGAGACAATTCTGAAATGTATTCTCTTTAGTCATTCAGAGGGCTCTTATCAGAATTTAGCTGCAGTTCCTACCTGCTCATCGTCAATGCTTCCTTTATTGAGCTTCTTATCTTTTTTTGTCTTACTTCCTCACTTCCTCACCTCATATGCCCTCTATGTTCACTCACTGATTAAATTACATTCACCTAAATGCTTTGGAAAGAACTCAGTGAGCAGACATAACACTTGAAAACCTCTAATTCGGTCACTGTTCATATGGCAACAAGAAATCAAGTAGATATGTATACTTAAGAAAGATAAGGTCTTGTTTTTATAATTTCTGAACCAAATGCATTTTTACTGTAATGAGATAATACAGAAAAAAATCTTAAAGGCTAAATAATTAGTTGTTTGGATAGTAAAAATAAATTGGTTCCTTGTTAATTATTATAACAATGTGAGCTTTGTTTCTGTATGATTACTGAAGTTGTTTTTATAGTAAAATATAAAGTCTGCATTTGGGGAACTCAGAATTAGCTTGACAAGTTCTTATCCATGATTTCATGGAATATAGAGAAGCTAAGTCTTGAAATTATATTTACATGGTTTAGTCAAATAGAGATTCATTGATTATGTTGTGATTTATGTAAAGAATATAATTGTCTTATTCTACTCAGTTAAACTCAACTAAGGCTTATTTTGATGTTTTAGACCATTTGTGTAAAATCAAAACAAAGGTCAAAGAATGGATAAGCCTAATTTTTCATGCGCCTCTTTAAAAAAATCTTTAAACTGTTACTTTTCATTTTTTCCTTAATGAAATTATTTTTATTAAAAAAAATTAAAAACAAACAAAACAGATGGCAACAAGGAATCAGTTGCTGCTGAGATCTCTAGCTTGGTATAATTACTAAAACTTTCATCATTTGGAGCATATTGGGATGTAATATATACCTTAAGAAATAGCTCTAAAACTCGAAAGATAAAAGGACATTAATAATTATGACAACTAGATATACAGTTAGGGACTGGATTGACTTTTGTTATCCACCAAACAGACCTTGAAGAAAAAAAAAAGAGGATTTGATTAGTCAACTACCAACTCAGGGCATGCTGGAAAAGACAGAACTCTCATTTTCTGTAGCTAGAAGGCAGATTTGTATTGGTAATAAAAATGAAGATTTGATCATAAAGTGTCATAGTAACAAAGGAATTTATATTCATAGTCCTGGCAAGGATCTAATGTAGGGGTCAGACAATTATGGCCCTTAGGTCAAATTCAGCCTACCACTTTTTTTTTTAATAAAATTTTATGGGAGTACAACCATTACCATTCATTAGCCTGTTTTTTATGACTGCTTTCACTCAACACTCTACAGAATTGAATAGTTACAACAGACACCATATGGCCTGCAAAGGTAAAAATATTAATTATCTAGCCCTTTCCAAAAAATATTTAATGATTCCCATCCTATAATTTAATGTAGGCCTGACTTTAATCACGACCCTAGTAGGAAAGAAGAGCAATTCTGAGAACTGTGCTGAGGACATTTGGGGAGATACATATAAAATTTTTGAATTTGTAGATTGCCTGTTCCCTCTGGTATCTAATAAGCTAGCAGATTCCCTAATTAGAGATAAGGCATCCTATTTCTTGGAGACTCAACAAAGACCTTGCTTTGGGCAGATGCTTCAAAATGTAATCCTCGAACTTCTTAAATAACTAGGTTCAGATCTCAGCATGACCTAGGAAGGGCTCAGAGTGTTCTTGATATAAACAAAAATGGAATATTTACCAAAAGATATTCAGGACCTGGTTAATATGTTGTAGTGGGGACCAGGATGACATGACCAAGAACAGGTCACTGGATAGACTCCAGTGACTAGTATTATATTTATGGCTCAAAACAAAACAAAACAAAACAAAACAAAAACCTATTAGCTACTACGATTTTGGGCTCCTATTTTCCCCTAAGAGATAACTTGATTAAAAACAGAAGAAAAAGTGAGCCTCATTATGATATCTGAAAGCTTAACTACTCAAGGGGGATTTCTGGAATAGCTTTTTCTATCCTCAGTCCTCTTCATATTATTATTATTATTATTACATTTTGAGACTGAGTTTCACTTTTGTTGCCCAAGCTGGAGTGCAATGGTGTGATCTCAGGCCACCGCAACCTCTGCCTCTCAGGTTCAAGCAATTCTCCTACCTCAGCCTCCCAAGTAGCTGGGATTACAGGCATGCACCACCATACCTGGTTAATTTTTTATTTTTAGTAGAGACGGGGTTTCTTCATGTGGGTCAGGCTGGTCTCGAACTCCCAACCTCAGGTGATTTGCCCACCTTGGCCTCCCAAAGTGCTGGGATTACAGGCATGAGCCACCACACCCTGCCCATATTACCTTTTATAAGCACCATGGAGAGTGAGAAAAGTCTTGTATTCAATGGTTCAGAGATCCATGGAGTGTTAGATAATGTCAGTAAACCTACAGAGATTTTCAGGTTTCCTGGCCTGTGGAATAAGTTATGATACATGATGAGTAAGGCTAAGTGTAACCTCTCAAACTTCCTTCTGCCTGCCAAGGTAAAAACAAAAAACAGTATCATATCCTGGAGGATGGTGGTGGGGGATGGGGTGATCAAGTTTAGTAAGATTATTGTAGACTTATAGGATAAAGCAATGGTGGTCACTGTCATATATCTGATTAATTCTCTAGTCTGGCCCCTGAAAAAATATGGTAAGTAACTCTTGGATAATTATTGTAGCCTATTGCAGGCTTAACCAAGTAGTAAACCCAATCCCAGTCACTGAGGCAAATGTGGTATCACTGCTAGAGAAGAAAAATAAGGCCTCACCTACATGATATGTGGCCATTGATTTGGTGAATCACTTCCTTATTTCAAGTTTAAAAAGGGATCAGAAATTTTTCACATTTACATGGGATAGACACAATTATTCAGGCTTTCCTCAGAGTTATGTTAACTTTCCTGCCCACTGTAATTATATATATAAGTATGTATGTATGTATGTATGTATGTATGTATGTATGTATGTATCTATCTATCTACCTACCTACCTATCTATCTTTCTATTTATTCATCTATCTTTTAGAGACCAGGTCTCACTCTGTTGCCCAGGCTGGAGTGCATTGGTACTATCATAGCTCACCGTACCCTCGAACTCCTGGGCTTAAACAATTATCTGGCCTCAGCGTCCTGAGTAGCTGGAGTAGCTGGGACTGCAGGTGCACACCACAGTGACCCATTAATTAAAAAAAACTGTAGTGACCAGGTCTCACTATGTTGCCCAGGCTGATTTTGAACTTCTTTCCTCAAGTGATTCTTTCACCTCAGCCTCCCAAAGTGCTGGGATAACAGGAGTGAACTACTGCAACCAGCATGTACTAATATTATACAAGACTATCTGGCACACCTTGCCATTTCATAGATCCATTACATTGGTGACATTATGCTGATTAGACAGGATGATAAATAGGTGGCTAGTTCACTGGAGGGGCCTTAGGAAAACACATGTATTTTACAGGCTGAAAGATAATCACTATGAAGATACAAGCACTTGCCACATTGGTAGAATTTAGGGATCTTGTGATCAATAATAATCTAGTATAACTTCTCCAAAGTCAGAGACAAACAGTTGCATTTTGCATCCATTACCAAAATGAAAAACCACTGAACCAGGTGAGCCTCTTTGGATCCTGGTGGTAAACCATCTCACACCTGGAAGAAATAAGCTGCAAGTTTAGAATTGAACCTGAAGCAAGAAAGTGTTTTGTAGCAGATCCAGGTCACACTGCAAGAAGCAATGCCGATAAAATCATACATTCCAAAAGAGTCTATGGTATTAGAAGTGGTGGTGATAGAAAAAGATGCTACATGGAACTTATGACAAAGCCCAGTTCTATAGTGAAAATGCAGAAATTTGTGATTCCACAGCAAAGCTAGGTCAACCTCAACAGAGAACTGTAGGGACTTTGAGAAATCTCTCTTGGCATGTTATTGGTAGAGACTAAACACTTGATAACAGAACCAAGTAACTATGCATCTAAACTGATAGTAATGAGCTGGGTTCTGTCAGCCCTATCAAGTTGTAAATTTACACATACTTGTACATTTTAAATGGAACATCTAAGATTGAATCTAGATAGGACTTGATAGCACAAGTAAGCTGCGTGATCAGGTAAATAAAATCCATGTATTACTCTACATGTGCATAGGCACACTTTCCTCAGCTTGCAACCATGGACATATGAGGGTCATGTATCACCAACTGAGAAAGGAAAGCTCAAGTTTGTTTTACAGATGTGTCAGCTACTATGTGGATGAAAACCAATAACAGATGAGTGGAGATGTGAGTGGTGACCTGGTCAGGCAATTAGGGCAGAGGAGACATGGGGCCCTGAATCAAGAGTGTATACAAATACCTGAGCAGTGGCCACTGGCCTGGTCAATTTCTCAGGGACATGACAACAAAATAATTAGTAGATATCAGACAGAGATCTAAGGTAGAAGCATGTCTATGAACACATGATAGTATATGTGAATTTTGAAGATTTTGTATTACTTCTCAGAAAGTATCTAACATGGAAGAATCACTAAACAACCAAGTAGACAAAATTATTCAGCCAGATAAAGTTAGCCAGGCTTCATCATTGGCCATGCCAATCTGTTACAATAGGCAGAGGTATGTGATCATGGTAGTAGAGATGGGGGCTACATCTAGGTCCAAAAGTATGAACTTTTTCTTAATAAAGGCAATCTAGCTTCTGTGGCCTCTGTATTTTCCATTTTCAGCAACAGCAATCAAAACTGCAGCATTGGCCAGCTGTGGTGGCTCATGCCTGTAATCCCAGCACTTTGGGAGGTTGTGGGTGGATCACTTGAGGTCAGGAGTTCGAGACCAGCCTGGCCAACATGGTGAAACCCTGTCTCTACAAAAATTAGCCAGGTGTGGTGACACACACCTGTAATACCAGCTACTCAGGAGGCTGAGGCATGAGAATCCCTTGAACCTGGGAGGTGGAAACTGCAGTGAGCCAAGATCGTGACATTGTGCTCTAGCCTTGGCAATAGAATGAGACTCTGTCTCAAAAACAAAATGAAAGAAAACAAAAACTGCATTATTATTTTTTGTAGCTAGATTATTTTGGCAGTATCAATCAAAATGTAAATATTGCCTATTCTCTAAATTACCAATTTCACTTCTAAGAACATATACTATGAAAATATTTATGTATTTAGGCACAAATTTTGTAACATTTATGATTTGACATATAGCACACACAAATAATATTGTCCCAAAGTATTTCCATTACATTTGCAGTTTGGTTTTGTAAGAAGTCTTTCTCCCTTTCTCCTTTTTTCCTCTCCTTCTGTCTTACTTCTGTTGTTCTGCATTTGTTTTTTGATAAAGAAAAAACAAAAACTTTTAAAACATATGAGGAACCCTAGGTAAGTAACCCTAGGAAAGCTTACACGTAATATAATTTTAGACACTCTGATTTTATCTTTGGTATATGCTGCTGAAAATTTATACTAAGAGGAAATCATACTTGGAAGGCTTTATTTCCTAAGGCCTTGGTGACTCTGGGTGGGAAAACACATTTTCACATTACATGTAACTCTGGTGTGTGAAAAATGAAAACAATATATATATTTAACCCCAGAGCCTTGAAAAGCAGTTAGGAAATCCCTGAGAAAGCAAATGTGATTGTGGCTTCAACTTTGCTTGAAAGTAATTTTTCAACTGCAATCAACTTTTACCTTCCATAAGAAAGGGAACTGAAACTCAAATAAAAGTATTTCATCATGAATGTTAAATCAGGAAAGTTCTTAAAGATTATTTGATCTCAAATCTTTATTTTGTGAGTGATAAAACAGTAGTCTATTTGCTTAAGTCAGATAATAACTATCGGCTGGTTCTGTGCTCTTGACTGTGATCTCCACCCCTTGCTTATTTTACAAAGACCAAGGCAGTCACTGTAAATTTCCTTCCCTTATTTATGATGTTTTCTCTAATTTATAAAAAAATTCTACAAACTATCTTATTAAAAAATACAATTAGTGATTAAATATTTTGAAGGAGAATGACCTTTTAGTTTTAGAAATAATAAAAAATGAAAATTTTATTCCCGTTTGTTTCCTGGAAAATAGGAAATATTATGTTTATTGAAAAAAGAAGAAAATGTTTTGTCACATGCATTGGTTCGTGACTTACGTCACTATTTTCCATATCAGAGAAAAATTAGTATGCTTTTTTTTTTTAGCAATCTTTGATCTTGTAATCTAAGGTTTTATGCTGGATTATAGCAGAATTTCAACAGCAGCAGCACATTTAATTATGAACTTTATATTTTCTTTGTGGATTATCCATTAGATGGCAATATTATAATATATATTTGGAATTTTGAATCTACTTCTATGCAATGCTGAGAGAAATAGTGCTGCTTTTTTATTTTCATAGTTCTAAAATAAGATTTATGATGGATGCTACCTTATAGTTTAAGGATGACTGTGTGCAAGACAATGCTGCTGTGTGGGGCTAAACATGCTGTGCTTGAAAGCCATTTTATGACAAGTTTATACATCTTACACAAAACCTCAAGTACTTCTATCTTTTTAAACTACAGTTCAAACGGTGACTTCAACCTTTGTGATTTTTTATAAAATTTGGCCAACACTTAGTGAGATATACATGTGCTGTAGAAGTGGGAATTCTAGTTTATGACGTATTATTCCAATCAGTGGAGATAAAAAAGGATTTTCCTTATAATTTTTTTTAAATAATAAAATAAGCAAAATTTCAAAATAAAGTAGTGGTAAAGAATGTACTAGTGCTTAGCTATTGTGAATTGTGCAGCCTTTAGACAAATACTTAAGTCCTCTGGTCTCAGAAAGAGTACCACTCAAAATGAGGTCTGTGGACCAATGCCTTCATCACCTGCATCAGCAGCACCAGCAACACCTGGAAACTTAATAGAAGTGCAGATTCTCAAGGGATGCCCAGAACTGCTGAACTATATATTCTGTGGGTGAGACCTAGCAACCTGTAAGTTAACACACACTGTCCAGATGATTCTCATGCCCCTAAAGTTTGAGATGCTCTGCTTTAGATACCCCATTTGAAATGAGGGATTAGACTGTATTTCTGACTGAAGTCACTTTCAGCAGTTAAGTTAAATGGCTTATTAATTATAAGTGAATAAGGAAGGGAATAGTGACGATGAATGATGATGAATAACTGTAATAAAATTAATGTGATTTTATCATCTTCCCGATTGAGTTACATTTTAATGTGTCAGAGGCATAAAAAGATAAAACTATTCTTTCAACAAGAAGGTGTTCTAATATCAGAATGTATACATTTTAATTGTTAGGACTAATTCGATTACCTTCTGAAAGCACATGCTCTTCTTCCTTAATTAAATTTTTCTTATTTTGAGAGACAAGTTCTTCCTGTATTGCCCAGACTGGCCTCAAATTCCCGGGTATAAGCCTCAAATTTTCACCTCAGCCTCCTGAGTAGCTGGGACTATAGTCATGCACCAAGTGCACCAAGCTTAAAATTTGTTATTTTTTAGATTATTGTAGATTCACAGGCGGTTGTAAGAAAGGAAACAGAGATTCCGTGTACTTTTATCCCAGTTCCCCCAAGGGTAGTATCTCACAAAAGTACAATAAAATATCACAGCTAGGATATTGACATTGATATAGTAAAGATAGCTATACCCACTTCCTTCCTGTCCTTCCAATGTTCTAAGTGGATTGCTTACTTTTCTATTGTTGGTTTAAAAAATTGTATACATATTCTACATAATAGTCCTCTGTATAATACCTAGTATGTAAATATTTTCTTCCACTCTGTAATTTATCTTTTTATTCTATTAACGGGGTCTTATCCAAGTCAACAGTTTTTAATTTTGATGATGCTTAACTTAGCAATTTTTCTTTTTATGAATTGTGCCTTTGTTGTAAAGTATAAGAACTCTTTGTCTGGCCCCAGATCTTGAAGGTCCTCTACAGAAGGTTTTATAGTTTTATGTTTAAGTCTATTATGCATTTTGAATTAATTTTTGTACAGGACGTGAGATTTATGTCAAAGTTTTTTTTTTTCTTTGCCAATAGATGTAAATTACTCCAGCACCATGTGTGGAAAGGCTAACCCCTAATTGAATTGGTTTTGAGCATGTATGTTTTTATAAACAACAGTTAAAGCAGGTGGTAAAAAGGAGGATATATGAAATTGAACAAATAAAATTTTAGGAAGTTATTAGGGAAGGATAAAAGGAAATGGATTAGCGCTGAGTACATTTGTGTGTCTCATGTCAGTTTGTGTCCTTTATGAGAGCTAAAGAGGAGGGAAAGAAATAAATACCTTTGAAGGGGGACTAATCAGCATTAATCAATTATACAAGAAAGTAGAGAAAGAAAGAACATAGTGCAATAAGACTCCACAATCTGTTTAAACATATGCCTTCAGGGAGCCAACAGGAATTCCGGTGAAGATGGGTAAGCATCTTCCTTATTTATTCTGTTGTAGGCATCCTCCAAGTGGGAGCACCAGACAATGCTTTGAGATTGAGATGAGAGTGAAATAAAAACTCTTTTATTTTGCTTAAATTATCTGTAGGCGCAAAAAACTCTAAAATGTAAGTAGTATAAATCACAGTGATTCAATTAATATAATCCAGGTTTAGAAACATAATATTACTTGTTTTAAAATTTCCTCTCTTCCTTGCCTCGTCCATTCCTTTCTTTTCTCAGTCAGGTGAAAAGCCACACCACTGTTCTGAATGTTGTGTTTAAGATTCCCTTGCCTTTCATCATAATTCTATGTGCTCTTTTCCTATACTTTATATAGTTCAATTTTATATGTATATGAAGGAATTAGGCTTCCTGTATTCTCCTATAACTTGTGTTTCTCGGTCATAGCTAAGATTTTAAACATGTTTTTGTTGGTGTGCGTAGCTGTAATGCATTCATTTTCAGTGTTGTCTCACATTCTAGCCTGTAAATACAGGTGGAACCTTTAGGTCATTCCTCTTTCAGTGCTCAGTAATGTTCTTCCCAGGTGTCTCTAATGTATGCCCATTGATATTCTTGAGCAGGACTCTTGGAGCATATAAATAGCAAGAATTCCTCTAGGGTGTATTCTCAGGAATGGAAGTGTTTTGCATATCTTCAAATTTATTATGTAATGTCATTCCAGGCTTGTTGTTCTATATTACATTATCATAAGCTATTTGTTCTTCTGAATGTTCCACATCTTTTCTAATAATTGACATTTTCAGATTTTAATATTCTTGCCTATCTAGTATATGTGTGAAATGACATCTTATTGTGGTTTTATTTTTGATTCTTCTAATTTTCAATTTGATTAAAGTAAATCTTTAAAAATTATGTTGGTGCAAAAGTAATTGCGGTTTTTGTCATTACTTTTAATGCACCAACCTAATAGTTACTAGTTGTTTCTTCCTATATAGTGTCTTCACAATATTTTTCCCTGTTTTTTAATTGGATCACTTATCTTTTCCTTGTTTAGTCATTCTTTATTTATAATATATATATTATGATACATGCACACAAACATTTATATCCCTTATATAACTGAAAATATGTTTTTCTCATTTGTTGCTTGTTTTTTGGTTTGTTTTGCTGTCTCGGTGTGAGCAGAAGTCCTTAATTCCCAAACAATGACCTAAATGGTTTTTGGTTTATATATTTTTAAAGAAATTCTTCTTAGTCCTGAAGTAATAAGTACATATTCCTCTATTGTCTTCTCAAAGCTTTATAATTTAGTTGTTCACATGTAATTTTGTAGTTAAGATAATGTTTACTTTTGTCTCTGATATGAGGTATTAGTCTGGCTTTATTTTTTTTTCTATATGGACAACTAATTGTTCTAGCGACAGTTATCAAAGATTCTATCCATTACACAGTAGTCTGCAAAATCAGCTCTGTTTTAATCAAGTTCTCAAGTGTATATTTACAAATATCTATTACTGATCTTTATTCTGTGTCCACGAATCTCTCTGTCTTGCCTTTGGCAATACTACAATTTAATTTTTAGTTTTATAATGATATTCAGTATATGGTAAGGTGAAGTCATTTATGTTGTTCCTTTTCTTCATGAGTGTCTGTTATTCTCAGTTCATTTTTTTCCATGTGCATTTACAGATTCAGTTTCTACATTGCTACAAAAATACCATTGTTTTCAAATTGCATTTGGATCTATACTGAATAAGTCAAAAATAGTTTATTCAAATATTTAGTTTTAAAATCAATGAGCATAGTTTATTAATTTAGGTTTTCTTTATTTGAGTCTTCTTGAATGTAATTCTATAAAGTTTTATAATATTTTTAAAAAGTTTTGGTTATTATTTGTTAGATTTATTCCTAGATATTTTATACTTTCAATGCTACTAAAATAGATTAAATCTTTAAAAATTATTTGTTCCTGGTATTTAGAAATACACATCTTTAGAAATTAAACTTTTTATTGACCTATAATACTCATACATAAGAGAGCACAAATAAGTTTGTAGTTCAATGATTTTAAAAATTGAATTTTATATGTTGATTTTTTTAAATCTAGTAATCTTGTTAAATTATTTTTAATTCTAATAGTTACGTTCTTTTCAGTTTTCTTTTTTTATTTTATTTTATTTATTTTATATTATACTTTAAATTCTGGGATACATGTGCAGAACATGCAAGTTTGTTACATAAGTATACATGTGCCATGGTGGTTCGCTGCACCCATCAACCCGTCATCTACATTAGGTATTTCTCTTAATGTTATCCCTCCCCTAGCTCCCCCACCCACCAACAGGTACTTGTGTGTGATGTTCCCCTCCCTATGTCCATGTGTTCTCATTGTTCAACTCCCACTTATGAGTACAAAGAGGAATTGATACCATTCCTTCTGAAACTCTTGCAAACAACAGAAGAAGAGGGACTCCTCCCTAACTCATTTTATGAAGCCAGCATCATCCTAATACTAAAACCTGGCAGAGACACAACAACAAAGAAAATTTCAGGGCAATATCCCTGATGAACATCGATGCGAAATCCTCAATAAAATACTAGCAAACCGAATCTAGCAACACATCAAAAAGCTTATCTACCACGATCAAGTCAGCTTCATCCTTGGGATGCAAGGCTGGTTCAACATACACAAATCAATAAACGTAATCCGTCACATAAACAGAACCAATGACAAAAACCACATGATTATCTCAATAGATGCAGAAAAGGTCTGATAAAATTCAACACCCTTCATGCTAAAAACTCTCAATAAACTAGGTATTGATGGAATATATCTCAAAATAATAAGAGCTATTTATGACAAACCCACAGCCAATATCATACTGAATGGGCAAAAGCTGGAAGCATTCCTTTGGAAAACCGGCACAAGACAAGGATGCCCTCTCTCACCACTATTATTCAACAAAGTATTGGTAGTTCTGGCCAGGGCAATCAGGAAAGAGAAAGAAATAAAGCGTATTCAAATATGAAGAGGGGAAGTCAAATTGTCTCTGTTTGCAGATGACATGATTGTATATTTAGAAAACCCCATCATCACAGGCCAGACACTCCTTAAGCTGATAAGCAACTTCAGCAAGTCTCAGATACAAAATCAATTTGCAAAAATCAGAAGCATTCCCATATACTGATAATAGACAGAGAAGCAAATCATGAGTGAACCCCCATTCACAATCGCTGCAAAGAGAATAAAATACCTAGGAATCCAACTTACAAGGGATGTGAAGGACCTCTTAAAAGAGAACTACAAAGCACTGTTTAAGGAAATAAGAGAGGAAACAAATAAATGGTAAAACATTCCATGCTTATGGATGGGAAGAATTAATAGCGTGAAAATGGCCATACTGTCCAAAGTAATTTATAGATTCAATGCTATCCCCATTGAGCTACCATTGACTTTCTTCAGAGAATTAGAAAAAACTACTTTAAATTTCATATGGAACCAAAAAAGAGCCTGTATAGCCAAGACAATCCTAAGCAAAAAGAACAAAGCTGGAGGCATCATGTTACGTGACTTCAAACTATACTACAAGACTACAATAACCAAAGAAGCATGGTTTTGGGATACAAGGCTTCCAAAACAGATATATAGACCAATGGAGCAGAAAAGAGGCCTCAGAAACAATGCCACACATCTACAGGCATCTGATCTTTGACACACATGACAAAAACAAGCAATGGGAAAAGGATTCCCTATTTAATAAATGGTCTTGGGAAAACTGGCTAGCCATATGCAGAAAACTGAAACTAGACCCCTTCCTTACACCTTATACAAAAATTAACTTAAGATGGATTAAAAACTTAAAGTGAAGCCCTAAAACCATGAAAACCCTGGAGAAAAACCTAGGCAATACCATTCAGGACATAAGCATGGGCAAAGACTTCATGACTAAAACACCAAAAGCAATTGCAACAAAAGCCAAAATTGACAAAGGGGATCCAATTAAATTAAGGAGCTTCTGCACATCAAAAGAAACTATCATCAGAGTGAAAAGGCAACCTACAGAATGGGAGAAAATTTTTGCAATCTATCCATCTGACAAAGGGCTAATATCCAGAATTTACAAGGAACAAAACAAACAACCTTATCAAAAAGTGGGCAAAGGATATGAACAGACACTTCTCAAAAAAAGACATTTATGTGGCCAACAAACATGAAAAAAAGCTCATCATCACTGGTCATTAGAGAAATGCAAATCAAAACCACAATGAGACACTATCTCATGCCAGTTAGAATGGTGATTATTAAAAACTCAGGAAACAACAGATGTTGGAGAGGATGTGGAGAAACAGGAATGCTTTTACACTGTTAGTGGGAGTGTAAATTAGTTCAACCATTGTGGAAGACAGTGTGGCAATTCCTCAAGGATCTAGAACTAGAAATACCATTTGACCCAGCAATCCCATTACTGGATCTATACCCAAAGGATTATAAAACATTCTATGATAAAGACAGATGCACATGTATGTTTATTGAGGCACTATTCACAATAGCAAAGACATGGAACCAACCCAAATGCCTATGAATGATAGACTGGATAAAGAAAATGTGGCACATATACACCATGGAATACTATGCAGCCATAAAAAAGGATGAGTTCATGTCCTTTGCAGGAACATGGATGAAGCTGGAAACCATCATTCTCAGCAAACCAATACAGGAACAGGGTTATTTTCATAACGTTCTTTTGTCTTGTTTATGTCTCAGCTATGTAGTTCTTTCACCTGTGCCATTCCTGTTGTATAGTTCGTGTGTGTCTGTCTTTTCTTTATGTCTTGATCAAACTTGCCTGAGGTTTATCACTTTTATTTATTTATTTTTCAAAGTGTCCATTGGCTTTCTGAAACAATCTATTCTTAACTCACCTTTTAAAAAAGGTTTAATTATTGTGGTTAGATAGTAGGTGTATATATTTGTGGGGTACATGAGACGTATTGATGTAGACATGCAATATATAATACTAACATCATGGAGAACTGTGTTTATGCCCTGTGCTACAAATAATCCAATTATACTCTTTTAGTTATTTTAAAATGTACAATTAAATTATTAATTTTGGTTTTCATTGGCATGGAATATATTTTCCATCCCTTAATTCAGTCTAAATGTGTCTTCATAGGTGAACCATGTTTCTTGTAGGCAAAAGATCACTGGGTGTCATTTTTTTTAATCCATTCATCCAGTCTTTGTCTTTTGAATGGAGAGTTAAGTGTATTTATATTCAATGTTATTATTGATGAGCAAGAACTTACTCCTGCCATTTTTTAATTTGTACTTTGGTTGTTTTGTGGTCTTATCCTCTTTCTTTCCTTCCTGTATTCCTTTCAGTGAAGATAATTTTTCTCTGGTGATATGATTTAGTTTCTTGCTTTTTATTTTTTGTGTATCTCTTGTGTGATTTTGGATTTGAGGTTACCATGAGACTTGCAGACACTATCTTACAATTAATTATTTTAAACAGATAACAACTGAATGCTATTTGCATCAACAGTCAAACAAAAAGAAAACTAATAAAAACACTATGCTTTAACTTTGTGCCTCCACTTTATAACTTTTTGTTGTTTCTAGTTATATCTTATTGTACTCTCTATGTCTTGAAAAGTTGTTCTGGTAATTATTTTTGATTGGTTAATCATTTAGTCTTTCTACTTCGGATGAGAGTATTTTGCACACCACTGTTACAATGTTATAATATTCTGTGTTTCTCTGTTTACTTACTATTACCAGTGAGTTTTTATTTTCAGGTGATTATTTATTATTCATTAATGTCCTTTTTTCTGATTTAATAACTATCTCTAGTATTTCTTGTAAGACAGATCTGGTGATGATGAAATATCTCAGTTTTTGTTTAACCTGTAAGTCTTTATTTCTCCCTCAAGTTTGAATAATATTTTCACCAGATATACTATTCTAGCGTAAAATTTTTTTTCTTCAGTGTTTTAAATATGTCATGCTATTCTCTTGTGGCCTGTAAGATTTTCGCTAAAACATCTGTTGCCAGACATATTGAAGCTGTATTGTATGTTGTTTCTTTTATCTTGCTGCTTTTAATATCCTTTATTTATTCTTGATCTTTTGGAGTCTGAATATTAAATGTCTTGAGGCAGTCTTAATTGAGTTGAATCTGCTTGGTGTTCTGTAATCTTCCTGTACTTGGATATTGATATCTTTCTCTAGGTTTGGAAAGTTCTCTCTTATTATCTCTTTGAGTGAACTTTTTACCCCTCTCTTTCTGTACCTCTCTATAAGACCAATAAGATTTGCCCCTTTGAGGCCATTTCCCAAATCCTTTATGCATGTTTCTTTTTTAAAAAATTTTGTCTCATCTGTGTATTTTATAATAGTCTGTCTTCAAATTCAGTAATTCATTCTTCTGCTTGATCAATTCTGCTGTTAAAAGACTAATGCATTCCTCAGTATGCCAGTTACATTTTTCAGCTCCAGAATTTCTGCCTGGTTCTTTTTAATTATTACAATCTCTTTGTTAAATTTGTCAGATCAGATTTGAATTCCTTCTTTGTGTCATCTTGAATTTCTTTGAGTTTCCTCAAAACAGTTATTTTTGAATTTTCTGTCTTAAAAGGTCATATATCTCTATTTCTCCAGGATTGGTCCCTGGTGCCTTATTTAGGTCATTTGGTGAGGTCTTGTTTTCCCTGATGGCATTGATGCAAAGAACAAAGATGTTCTTTGGTGTCTGGGCATTGAAGAGTTAGGTATTTATTTTAGTCTTTGCAGTCTGGTCTTGTTTGTACCAGTCCGTCTTTGGTGATATTTGGAAGGACTTTGGTGCTCTGATCTAAGCTGTAGATGCTTTAGGTGGCACCCCAGCCCAGTACTGCTGTGGTTCTTGCAGACTTGTATAGGTACTGCCTTGATGTTCTTTGACAAAATCTGTTGAATTATCTGGATTACCAGGCAGAGACTCTTGCTCACTTCCCTCAATTTCTCCTAAACAAACAGAGTCTCTGTCTCTGTTTTGAACCACCTAAACCTGGGAGTGGAATAACACAAACATCCACCATTATGACTGCGCTGGGTCAGACCTGAAGCCAGCACAGCACTTGGTCTCACCCTGCTGTAACTACTCTTTGGCTACTGCCTATGCTCGCTCAAGGCCCTTGGGAAATACAGTCAGCAGGTGGCAAAGTAAGCCAGATCTGTGTTCTTTCTTTCAGGGTGATGAGGTCACCCAGGGCCCTAGTTGGGTCTAGAGGTGCCATTCAGGAGCCAAGAACTAGAGTCAAAAGCCTTAGAAGTCTACCTGATGTTCTATTATATTGTGGCTGAGCTGGCACTCAAACCAGAAGATGCACTCTATCCCACTCTTCCTTCCCCTTTCCAAAGACAGAGGAGCTTCACCTTGTGGACAACACCACCACAGGCCCATGGGAAGTACTGGAGACTACCACTGACGTTTCTTGAAGGCCCAGAGGCCCTTCAGTAAGCTTCTGCTAAATGCTGCCTGGCCTGTGACACCCTTCAGGGACAGTGGCATCCCTTCTGGCCCAAAACAGGTCCAAAAATGCCATCCAAGAGCCAAATCCTGGAATCAGGCACCCGAAGAAGACACTTAGTGCTCTACTCCACTGTGGCTGAGCTGGTACGTATGGTGCAAGACAAGAGTCCCCTTTACTGTTACCTCTGTTTTCTCAAGCAGGAGTCTTGCCCTGTAGCCACAGCTGGGAATGTGCTGAGTTTCACCTGAAGTCATTAAATATCAGAGCCACACCCAAGTCCCTCAGTGTCGTATCCGTGTTATCACTGCTGGTTATTCAAGGGCCAATGGCCCTTCAGTTAGTAAGTTGTTGTAGATATCTCCTTTTGGATAGAATTAAAGATTTCTTAAAGTTCTGCAAGGACTAATGCTGAAACTCACAGCTCAATTGCTTACTGGAAAGAAGCTGCAGACCCAAGTTTATGCTCTATTTTCAGGGCAACTGACACCAATGCTTGGTCAATGAAGTTAGATTATAAAACTTAATTTTTTACTTTTTCCAGCCCTGATTTCCTGAGTAGAAAATGAAGCTTTAGCCTGATGACCAGCTCAGGCACAGGTACATTAGTTTTGGGCAAAGATATTGAGCAGAAACCTTTCTGACATTACAATTCCACTAATCCCCTTGCCAAATTACTTTCCCATTCTCTTCTTCTTAAAAAGTGACATCCAAAGGATTTGCCCATTATTTTACTGGTTATGTGCAGACAGGTCTGAAATCTGACTGAGATTCAAATTTGGACTTTGTTTCAATTTTCAAAACCCATATAGAATAGTGTCTAAAAGATCAGGCTCTGGTGCCAGTCTAAATCTGCATATATTCTCTGCTATCTACTAGCTCTTTTTTTGTGACCAAACTACACTAAACCTCAGTTGTTGTTTTTTTGGAATTTCAGATAAATATATCATTTATTACAGCAACATAAAAATTACTAAGAATTATTTCTAAAAAGTATGTTAAAATATGTCAAAAATAGTATTAACAATTATGTTAATGTCTAATATTTTAATTTTTAATCCCAAAATATTAATTAAATTAATTTTTATCTGATATTTATTGATGATCCATTATATTCTTCTCAACATACTAGATTTGAACACTGTGCTAAGCATTGGAGACAGTTCTAGTCAACTTAATTGAACTACTTATTTTAAAATATATTCTTGTGGTAAAAATACGTTGTTCTAATTTTATCAAGGAAGTCATTTATATTCAGCTACAAAGAGTAAGCCATTAACCCATATATTTTAAATAAACCCCTCAGATTAATTTTCTATCTCAGCAGGCATATAGGCAGGAAATTCTTAGTTGATCTTTTTCTGTCCATTAATTGCTGCTGGGAATTTGTCATCTTTCCTGACTCATAGACTCTCAAGATATTGCCTATTCCATAGTTTCCAATGGTTTTCTTCTTGCTTAAATTTTCTCTTGAGCTCCATTTTGCAACCAGATCAATTTTGCTGTCAGCAGCTTGTCCTGCCACTATAGAGAATGTCTCAAATAATGTACTTTTGCCATTAGCCCTACTTCGGTGAAAATTTAAGTTTCTTCTAACATACTTAAAATTTTTACAGTCAAATACCATGTTTACTTTGTTTACCTCTTTTCAAACTAGAATCTCCCAGTTCATGCCTGAATTAGAGTACAGATCATTAATTTTCTGAAAATAAAAGTGAAATTCTTTATTACTTTTTCATGTTAACATTGTTAATACATAGTCTATTAGTCATTTACATTAGGCTTTATTTGTTTTTTCTTATTTATTTATTGTCCCCTGCCTTATTCCAAGGAGGATTTAAATTGCTTTAGGAGTTTAGATAGTTATTTTTCAGTCTTGTCCAGAATAATAATCTTTGGGGATACCATTATTTTTCTGAAAAGTACAATTTGTGTTCCATAGAACTGACTTGAAACAGGCCTCATGTAATACATCTATTATAATATTTGGATTATAGGACTGATTTTGCATATGTATAGATACCTACTTCTTTATTTTACATATTAATAATATACCAAACAAAACTCATAGTAAAATGAAAGCAAACCTCTTCAAAATGCACTTTTGTATTTCCCACGGAGACCAATTAGTTTTATTATACCAAGACATTCCTGAAATTTATGTGAAAACATTGAAAGATGAGTTACCAGAGAGAATTCAACTCATTCCCTCTGGATTTAATTATAGGATATAACTCTAAATACAAGGCAATGTGTGTGGAAGACAAGCAAATCTCCTTGGATTTGAGTAAAAGTTAGCCATGCCACATTTCTCCTCTTTGTATTTCACCTGGAAATTGTTCATTAATTTAGAAAGTATACTTTTTTTTGACAAAGTAGATATTATATGATATCTTACTGACTATAATATTCAATAGTTTTATATGTCAAGACTGTTCCTGAAGAAATGGAATTGCAATAAAACTACAAACCAATGGTTGATTTTATAGTCAATTGCACATGTCTAAATCAACCACTGGCAATTCCATTTATCATATGCCTTAATTCTCCTCGTCACTCATTCCTAAATTGTTGTATTTTCTTAACTGAGTAACTTATACATATTAGTACCAGGTTTTGAAGACCTTTAAAGTATCAGGCTGTGTTTCTATCTAAAAATGTTAAGCTCATTGTTAAATAATACTAGGTCATTATACACAACCCTTTGCTTCCTATAGCTATTCTCTTTAATATAACATAAAATCAAAATTGTTTAAAATAACACATTGATGAACAATCATCTTGAAAAAGCATACAGATATGCTTTTTCACCAATCAACTGCAGAATAATCACAGTGAACAAAGGCATAAATATAAAAAACTGGGACAGAAATAATTTTGTCCATAAAAATCCCAATACTACATTTTCTTCCTGGTTTTATTCTTTTTCTTTCTAATTCTTAAAGACAAATTAAATTCTTAGAGACAAATTATTTTGAGTTGAAAGAAAACTCATTTATTCTCATGTTTATGTGTGCGAGGGTTAGCTGAAAATCAGCTGGACTAAATTAGACTCAAGGCTTCAGTATCTGGGCCCCAGGCTCCAGGCTCCAGGCTCCAGGAATGGATACAAGCTTATTCCATATTTGTCTCATCTTCCTTGAACCCGCACCTACAAGGCAAATGGTCTCTTCATGTTCCATTGTGAGGTTCAGACAATCTAGGATATATTCCTCTCCTGGTAAACCGTAAGATCATAATAGGATCCAAGCCATGTCTCTGCTTGTAGCAACATCATTACCTTCTATTAGCCAAAGTGAGTCACATGGCCAAGCTGAACATTACTAAAGGAAGGAATTCTATTTCACTCCCAATGAGAGGGAAAGGACAGTGAAATTATCTGAAAAATAATCCAAATTATCATTTATATACATTTATTCTGTATTATCTGCTTTCACTTTTATCTTTGTATTATAAAATGTGATTTTGCTTCAAAACTCATATTCCATTAGATGCCTTATTTCATCAAATTGATTTTTGTTGTACTGCATGACTTCAATTATTTATGTTATGATTATAAAAATATGGTAACTGTTCAATGTTATTAATTTAAAATAAATACATTTAATGAGCTTCTTTTCAAATCTTTCTGCTTTCCTATTTTTTCCTTTCATTCATGAATGAATCTGTTACATTCATTTCAAGAACCTCTTTTATGAAAGACAATGTACAATTTCATGAAAATATGCCTTGAACTGAGCCAGCTTTGGAGATTCATGTGTGACCTCATCCCAAGACTTAATTTGGCATTCTCTTACTCTAAATTAATCCTGAATCATATTTCTCAAATTAAGTGAAGGTTTACATAAATCCTGTTCAAAGCTTCTACCAAAGATGGAGCTTGTAATTAAGCAAATCAAATATTTGTAGTTCTTTGTCAGGTAATTATTATTTTGCTTTTTGTAAGTAAGAGAGACAATATATTTTGTAGAGAAAATTTCCAAGGTAAGTGGTGTTTTGTTCCAGGAAAATGTGATTTATAATGTGTAACTTTTATAGAGATTTTCCCTCTCATTTTTTAAAATTTGAGACATTAGAAGAACCATTACCTTTTGGGTCTTTCTCCCAATCTTTGATACTAGTACAATATTTTGGATGAATCTTTCCCTGGACATAGGATAGCATATGTAAGAATAGGTAAATTTTCTTATGCACCATGAAATTTGAGATTCTTGAAATGAGTTACACTTTTTTTAAGCTTCTGCTTTAACTAGAAAAATTGTTTCTCTCTTGTGTGGTACCTATTCTTGATTGATTAAGTAGTTGTCAAATATTTCGATGGCTAATAAAGTGAAACCTATAATGGTCATTGGTGATATTTATTTCAGCCACATTCTTCAGGAAAATATGAGAAGCAAGTGTGATATTCAGGAATCTGCTTACTTTGTTATCTCCTGTTAGGTAGAGATTTCCCAAACCTATTAGAGAGGGATTGTGGCTCTGTATTTTAAGGATTTTAACACCTCTCATGGCTCTAATATATTATATAGTGTTCTGGAACCAGCCCACCAAAACAGAAAAGGGATGTCCAATCCTTTCTGCTTAAATATACGAGTAAAGCAGTGGTATTAAGATGTAGCCACATAGAAAGACTTACCTTATAAATTTGAATGAAGGAGGCAATATTGATAATTATTGGAAATAGAACAATCTGTCTGGGCGCGGTGGCTCACGTCTGTAATCCCAGCACTTTGGGAGGCCTAGGCCAGCAGATCACCTGAGGTCAGGAGTTTGAGACCAGCCTGGCCAACATGGTGAAACTCCATCTCTACTAAAAATACAAAAATTAATCGGGCATGGTGGTGTACACCTGTAATCCCAGCTACTTAGGAGGCAGAGGCCGGAGAACTGCTTGAACCCGGGAGGTGGAGGTTTCAGTGAACCAAGATTGTGCCATTGCATTCCAGCCTGGGCGACAGAGCAAGACTCCGTCTCAAAAATAAATAAATAAAAGAGATAGAAAAATCTAGTGTCCCAGTGCAAAACAGATTCAGTTATATAATATGAGGATTAGGAAGAATGTCATTTTTCATAACTATGAAATCTATGTTGGTCATACCTTTCACCTGTTACCACAGTTTCTCTCTCTTACATAAAAATATGTATATTATTTGTCTATTGTACTCATCAGGTGCTAAACGAGACAAAATCATAAAAGAGCCATCCGCATACTGATGTTGATATTTGCTACTTCCAGTTTCTAAAATTCCCAATTTATGTAAATCTTTGCACTCCCACTGATCTCCTGCAATTTTGCTTAGGAGTCACTTCTTTCATGCTGCTTTCCTAATGATTATAAACTACTGAGAGCATCAGTTTAAATTATGTGTCATTTCTGTGAAATACACATACTTCTATTGCTACAAAAATTATATTACCAAGAAGGCCAAATATAAGCTTCCACCAGTTGTCCTCCCCACAGGAATATGAAATGTAACAACTACCTACACAAGAAAGCACCTTCATAAGAACCAAAAATCAGGTGAGCAATCACCTGGTTTTAATTTGATATCACTGAAAGAGACACTGTAAAGAGTAGGAGAGATAGTCTTGAATTGCTGACACCATACCTTTTCCATTCCTTAGCAGGAACTGCATGATATGGAGAATCTGTATGCTTGGGGGAGGAGAAGTGCAGTGATTATGGGACTTTGCATTGGAATTCACTGCTGCCCTGTCACAGTGGAAAACAACACTTTGCAGAACTCAGCTGATGACCACAGAGGGAGCATTTAGAACCTCTAGCCAAAGAGAAATTGTCCGTCTCCTTGTTTGGAACTTGAGTTTCAGCAAGCCTCACCGCCGTAGGCTAAGGTGCTCTGGCATTCCAATTAAACTTGCAAGGCAGGCTGGGCGCAGTGGCTGGCAGGGCGCAGTAGCTTGTGCCTGTAATTCCAGCACTTTGGGAGGCCAAGGCGGGTGGATCACTTGAGGTCAGGAGTTTGAGACCAGCATGCCAACACGGTGAAACCCCATTTCTACTAAAAACACACACAAAAAAATTAGCTAGACAAGGTGGCCTGTGCCTGTAATCCCAGCTACTAGGGAGGCTGAGACAGCAGAATTGCTTGAACCTGGGAGGCAGAGGTTGCAGTGAGCCAAGATTGTGCCACTGCAGTCCAGTGACTCCATCTCAAAAAAGAAAAAAAGAAAGAAAGGCAGTCTAGGCCACAAGAACTGCAACTCCTAGACAAGTCCTAGTGCTGTGTGGGGCTCAGAGCCAGTGGATGTGGGGAACAAGTAACCTAGTGAGACACCAGTTGGGAGTGACCAAAGGCGTACTTTTGTGCCACCCCTCTCCCAACTCCTGGCAGTACAGCTCATAGCTCCAAAAGAGATTCCTTGCATCTGCTTGAGAAAAGGAGAAGGAAGAGTAAATGGATTTTTGTCTTGCAACTTGGATACCAGCTCAGCCACAGTAGAATGAGGCACTGGACTGAGTCCCAAAGCACCCATTTCAGGCCCTAGCTCCTAGACATTTATAGACATACCGTGGACAAGAAGAAAACCCACTACCTTGAAGGGAAAGACCACATTCTGACAGAATTTATCCCTTACTGACTAAAGAGCCCTTGGGCCCTGAATAATCAGCAGCATTAGTCAGTTAGTACATGCCATGGGCCTTAGGTGACACTCTGAGAGGTGCTTACTTCAGGTGTCACTCATCATATTCACAGCTGTGGTGGCTATGGGGAGGCACTGCTTCTGCTTGAGAAAAGCAGAGAGAAGAGTAAAGTGACTTTGTCTGGCAGCTGCAATGGGGCAGAATACCAAGTGGTCTCTTAGGGTCACCAGTGCCAAGCACTGGCTCTTGGATGACATTTCTGGACCTTTCCTGGACAAGAGGGCAAGCTTACTGCCCTGAAGGGTAAACCTAGGCCTGGTAACGTTCACCACAAGCTGACTGAAGGGACCTTGGGCCTTGATTGAACATTGGTGGTAGCCTGGCAGTATTCCCTGTGGAACTGTGGTGGCAGTGGCCGTGGAGTGAGGATCCTCTGCTTGTGGAAAGGGGAAAAAAGAGTGGGAATAACTTTGTCTTTTGGTGTGTCAGCTCAACCACAGTAGAATAGAGTACCAGGTAAATTCCTAAGGTCTGGACTCCAGGCATGGCTTCTGGATGGCTTCCCTGGACCTACCTGGGCTGGGGGGAAACTTTCCACCCTAAAGGGAAAGAGAAAAGCCTTGTTGGCTTTGCCATCTGCTGACTGTAGAGCGCTGAGGTTTGAACAAACATAGATGTTGGCCAAGCAATGGTTATAATGGGCTCTGGATGAGACTCAGGGCTGTGCTCGCTTCAGATCTGACACAGTGCAGTCCCAGTTGTGGTGGCCACAGCAGTCCTTTTATTGCCCCTCCCATAGCTCCAGGCAGCTCAGCAAAGAGAAAAAGACATCATTAGTTTGGGGGAATGTAAGAGAAGGGAACAAGAATTCTCTGATAATCTAGAGAATTCTTCTGGGTCTTATAAAAGACTACCAAGGCAGTACCTCTGAGTCTGCAAGAGCCAAGCATTACTGGGCTAAAGGTGCCCTGTAGTGCAGATACAGTTGGAGTGACTGAAGTTACCACTTCACCCAAATCCCTTTAAATACCTGGAAAGCCTTCCCAAGAAGGATGGGTACAAATCAGCCCAGACAATGAAGACTACAAAAATTCCTGACTCTTCAATGCCCAGACACTGACAAATATCCAAAAGCATCAAGGCCATCTAGGAAAACATGATCTCACCAAATAAGCTAAATAAAGCACCAGGGACCAATTCTGGAAAGATAGATCTTTCAGACAGAGAATTAAAAATAGCTGTTTTGAGGGAACTCAATGAAATTCAAGATAACATACAGAAGGAATTCATAATCCAATCATACGAATTTAACAAAGCAATTGAAATAGTTAAAAAGAATCAAGCAGAGATTCTGGAGCTGAAAATGCAACTGGCACACTGACGAATGCATCAGCATCTCAGCTGCAGAACTGATCAAGCAGAAGAAAGAATTGGTGACTTTGAAGATATGCTCTTTGAAAATACACAGACAGAAGAGGGGAAAAAAGAATAAAACAGAATGAAACATGTCTACAAGTTCTAGAAAATGTCTCAAAAGAGAAAATCTAAGAGTTACTAACCTTAAAGAGGAGGTAGACAGAGACATAGAAGCAGAAAGTTCATGCAAAGAGATAATAAAATAGAATTTCCAAAACCTAGAGCAAGATATCAATATTCAAGTATAAGAAGGTTATAGAACATAAAGAAAATTTAACCCAAAGGTATTTAATAATCAAACTCCCAAAGGTTGAGGACAAAAAAAAAGATCCTAAAAGCAGCAAGATAGAAGAAATGAATAACATGCAAAGGAACTCCAACACATCTGGCAGCAGACTTCAGTAGAAACCTTACAGGCCAGGAGAGGGTGGCATGACATATTTAAAATGATGAAGGAAAAAAATATTTTACCGTAGAATAGCATATTCAATGAAAATATTCTTCAAAAAAGAAGGAAAAATAAAAAATTTCTCAGACAAACAAAAGCTGAGAGACTTCATCAACACCACATCAGACCTACTAGAAATGCTAAAAGGAGTTTTTCCATCTGAAACAACAGAATGTTAATAAGCAATAATAAATCATCTGAAGGTCCAAAACTTACAGGTAATAGTAGGTAAGCAAAAAATCACAGAATATTATCACAGAATATTATAACACTGTAATTGTGATGTGTAAACTACTCACATCCTGGGTAGAAAAACTGAAAGATGAACCAATTGAAAATAAAAACTACAACTTCTCAAGACATAAACAGTACAAGGAGATATAAATACAAAGGACAACATCTTAAAAAGTGAATAGACAAAGTGTAGAGTTGTTATTCATTTTCTCTTGTTTGTTTGTGTGTGCAGTTAGTGTAAAATCATCATCAGATTAAAATAATGAATATTATTTGCAAGTATCATGGTAATCTCAAATTAAAAAAATACAGAGGATACACAAAAAATAAAAAGCAAGAAACTAAATAACATAACCAGAGAAAATCACCTTCACTAAAAGGAAGACAGGAAGAAAGAAAAACAAAAAAGGAAGACAAGACCAGAAAACAATCAGAATACAAATAACAAAAATGGCAGGAGTAAGTCCTTACTTATCAATAATAATATTGACTGTAAATGGACTAAACTACCCATTCAAAAGACAGAGTAGCTGAATGGATTAAAAAAAAAAACCAAATAGGAACAAGACACACATACACTGATAATAAAGTGATGAAAAAGGTATTCCATGCCAATGGAAACCAAAAAAGAAAAAGTGTAGCTATATTTGTATCACTAATAGATTTCAAGACAAAAACTATGAAAAGAGACAGAGAAGGTCATTATATAATGATAAAGGGCTCAAGTGATCTAGAAGATATGAAAATTTTAAATACATATGCACACAATACTAGAGCACCCAGATATATAAAGAAAATATTACTAGAGCTAAATAGAGAGATAGACTTCAATAAAATAATAGCTGGAGGCTGTAACACCTCACTTACAGCAGTGGACAGATCTTTCAGACAAAAAAATCAACAAAGAGACTTCAGGCTTATTCTGCAGTCTAGACTAAGTGAACATAATAGATATTTACAAAACATTTTATCCAACAGATGCAGAATATGCATGATGTTTTCTCAGCCCATGAATCATTTCTCAAGGATAGACCATATATTAGGTCACAAAACAAGTCTTAAAACATTCAAAGAAGTTGAAATAATATTAAGCATGTTCTCTGACCATGATAGAATAAAACTATAAATCAATGACAAGAGGAATTTTGGAAAGTATACAAATACATGGAAATTAAGCAATAAGCTCCTGAATGACTAACAGGTGAATGAATCAATTAAGAAAAAAATTTAAAAATGTATTGAAACAAATAAAAATGGAAACACAGCATACCAAAACTTATAGGATACAGCAAAAGCAATAGTAAGATGGAAATTTGTAGCTATATGTGCTTACATAAGAAAAGTAGAAAAACTTCAAATAAACAACCTAATGATGCATCTTAAATAGCTAGAAAAGCAAGAGCAAACCAAGTTCAAAATTAGTAGAAGAAAGGAAATAATTAAAATATAGCAGAAATAAATGAAATTGAAAAAAAGAAAACAATGCAAAAGATCAGTATAACCCAAAGCAGCTTTTTTGAAAAGATAAACAAAATTGGCAAACCTTTATCCAAACTAAGAAAAAAAAACAGGCTGGGCGTGGTGGCTCATGCCTGTAACCCCAGCACTTTGGGAAGCTGAGGCAGGCAGATCACCTGAGGTTGGGAGTTCGAGACCAGCCTGACCAACATGGAGAAACCCCGTCTCTACTAAAAATACAAAATTAGTTGGGCGTGGTGGCACATGCCTGTAATCCCAGCTACTCAGGAGGCTGAGGCAGGAGAATCGCTTGAACCCAGGAGGCGGAGGTTGCAGTGAGCTGAGATCGCGCCATTGCACTCCAGCCTTGGCAACAAGAGTGAAATTCCGTCTCAAACAAACAAACAAAACAGAGAAGCCTCAAATAGAGATGAGAAAGAACACATTACATCCAATACCACAGAAATTTAATAGATCATTAGAGGCTACTTTGAGCAACTATATGCCAATAAATTGGAATACCATGGAATGGACAAATTCCTAGATACATACAAGCTACCAAGATTGAAACATGAAGAAATACGGACCTGCACAGAGCAATAAGGAATAACAATTGACACCATATAAAAAATCGCCTAGCAAAGAGAAGCCCATGAAACAAAGGCTTCACTGCTGAATTTTACCAAACATTTAAGAAATAACTAATATCAATCATACTTAAACTATTAAAAAAATAGAGAAACAGAGAATACTTCCAAACTCATTCTACAAGGCCAGTATTTCTCTGATACCAAAATCAGACAGTCTTTAAAAAAGTAGGCCAAATATACCTGATGAACATTGATGCAAACATTTTCTACAAAATATGAGCAAACAAAATTTAACTATACATTAAAAAGATCTTTCATCATGATCAAGTGGGATTTATCCCAGACATACAAGGATGGTTCAACATATGTAAATCAATCAATATGATTCAACATGTCAACAGAATGAAGGAAAAAGCATATGATTATTTCAACTGATGCTGAGAAAGCATTTGATAAAATTGTACTTCCATTCATGATGAAACCCTCAAAAACTGGATATAGAAGGAACATACCTCAAAATAATAAAAACCACCAATGACAGACCCACAGCCAGTATCATCCTGAGTGGAGGAAAACTAACAGCCTTTTCTCTAAGATCTGAAACATGACAAAGATGCCCACTTTTGCAACTGTTATTCAACATACTACTGGAATTCTAGCTATAGCAATCAGACAAGAGAAATAAATGAAGAACATCCAAATTGGAAGGGAAGAAGCCAATTTTTTTGTGTGCAGATGGTATGATCTTATATTTAAAAAAAACCCTAAAGATTACATACAAAAACTATTGGAAGTGATAAACTCAGTAAAGTTGCAATATACAAAATCAACATACAAAAATCAGTAGCATTTCTATATGCCAACAGTGAGCAATCTGAAAAAGAAACCAATAATGTAATCTCATTTACAATAGCTACAAATAAAATTAAATATTTAGGAATGAAATTATTCAAAGAAGTGAAAGATCTCTACAATGAAAACTATAAAACTCTGATGAAATAAATTGGCAAGGACACCAGAAAATGAAAAAATACTCGATGTTCATAGATTGGAAGAATCAATATTATTAAAATGTCCATACTACCCAAAGCAATCTGCTGATTCAATGAAATCCCTATCAAAATGCCAGTGATATTCTTTACAAAAATAGAAAAAAAACCTGTAAAATTTGTATGGAAACACAAAAGACCCAGAATAGCCAAACATACCTTGAGCAAAAATAGCAACACTGGAAGAATCACATTACCTAACTTCAAATTGTGCTACAGAGCTATATTAATGAAAACAGCATGGTAGTGGCATAAAAACAGACACATAAACTGATGGAGCAGAATAGAGAACCCAGAAACAAATCCATGCATCTATAGTGAACTCATTTTTGACAAAATGCCAAGGCCATACATTGGGGAAAGGACAGTCTCTTCAACAAATAGTGAGGAGGAAACTGGATATCCATGTGTAGAAGAATGCAACTAGACCCCTATCTCTTGCCATATACAAAAATCAAATCAAAATGGATTAAAAACATAAATCTAAGACCTCAAACTATGCAATCACTGAAAGAAAATACTGAAGAAAGTCTCCACGACATTGGACTGTGCAAAAATATCTTGAGCAATTCCCCACAAGCACAGACAACCAAAACAAAAAGTGGACAAATGGGATCATATCAAGTTAAAAAGCTTCTTCACAGCAAAGAAAACCATCAACAAAGTGAAGAGACAACCCACAGAATGGGAGAAAATATTTGTAATCTACTCATCTGTCAAGGGATTAACAACTGGAACATATAAGGAGCCCAAACAATTATATAGAAAAACGATCTAATAATCTGATTTAAAAATGGGCAAAAGATCTGAATAGACATATCTCAAAGGAGGACAAATAGTTAACAGGTATATAAAAAGGTGCTCAACATTATTGATCATCAGAGACATGAAAAGCAAAACTACAATAAGATATCATCTCACCTCAATTAAAATGTTTTTTATCCAAAAGCAATAACAGATGTTGTCGAGCATATGGATAAAAAGGAACCCTCATACACTACTGGGGGGAATGTAAACTAGTACAACCACTGTGCAGAACAACACGGAAGTTCCTCAAAAAACTAAAAATATAACTACTATATGACCCAACAATCCCACTGCTAGGTATAAACCCAAAAGAAAGGAAATTAAGATATTGAAGAGATATCTACAGTCCCATGTTAATTGCAGCACTATTCACAATAGCCAATATTTGGAAGCAAGCTGTGACCATCAACAGATAAATGGATAAAGAAAATGTGTACACATACACAATGGAGTACCATAAAAAATGCGATTCTGGTATCTGCGACAACATGGATGGAACTAGAGTTCATTGTGTTAAGTGAAATAAGCCAGGCACAGAAAGACAAACTTTGCATGTTCTGACTTATTTATGGGAACTAAAAATTAAAATAATTGAACTCATGGAGATAGAGAGTAGAAGGGTGGTTACCAGCAGCTGGGAGGGGTTGCATAGTGAAGAATGTGGGGATGGTTAATGCATGCCAAAAATGGAAAGAATGAATACAATCTAATATTTTTGATAGCATGGCAGGGTGACTATTGTCAATAATAATTTAATTATACATTTTAAAGTGACTAAAAGAGTATAATTGGATTGTTTGTAACACAAAGGATAAAGGATTGAGGTGATGTATAGCCCATTTACTCTCATATGATTGTTGTGCATTGCATGGCTATATCAAAGTATCTCATGTATTTCATAAATATATACACCTACCATGTACCCACAAAAATAAAAAATAAGAATTTAAGAAAGTAACTCTACAATATCAGCCTGTTTTGACTGTATGTAAAGAGATACCATAAAAAAAGAGCAGATTACATTACATTTTTTTATTTGTGTGTAAGTGCAGTTCAGTTCACTTTGCATTTATTTTTCCTAGCTCTGGTACTGTGCTTGGTAAATGTCAGTTACTAAATATATACCTGTTGAATGAAAATGATTTAATCTAAAAAATGGGGAAGCTTGAAAAGTTTTATTTTCAATCTTGAGTTTATTAATATTTTCATCCTACTCATAATTGCTTTTCCCTTACCCTGGGCATTGTTCAAGATCTGTTATAATGGAAAGGTAGGAAGAAATGCCATTTAAATAAAAACTAAGAAAAAATAGATGTGTATATCTTGGCTACCTATGAAGGATATAGATATTTCTTGTGTGTAATTGGAATTTTAATTTTCAAAAATCTAAAGCAGAGAAATGGAGGTATGGGACAGCTCACTGTAGCTGAATTACAAGTAAGGACGAATGAAGAATTGCCTTTTGAATAGCACACAAGTAATAATAGCTAAGGTGCTAGGGTAAACAAGGTGGGGGAGGTGTCCTGAAGATGAAAGTATTAGAAACTACAAAGAGTTAGCTATTCAGAGGAATGCAGAGATACAGCAATGTAGCATTAAGTAGCTTATATTGATTCATTTTTAAAGAACTTCTGCACGGCAAAAGAAACTATCATCAGAGTGAACAGACAACTTACAGAATGGGGAAAAAATTTGCAATCTATCCATCTGGCAAAGTCTAATATACATAGTCTACCAGGAACTTAAACAAATTTACAAGAAAAAAAAACCCATGAAAAAGTGAGCAAAGGACATGTACAGACACTACTCCAAAGAAGACAGTCATGCAGCCAACAAACATACGAAAAAAAGTACAACATCACTAATCATTACAGAAATGCAAATCAAAACCACAATGTGATACCACCTTTCCCCAGTCAGAGTGGTGATTATTAAAAAGTCAAAAAACAACAGATGCTGGTGAGGGTGCGGAGAAAAAGGAAGAGTTTTACACTGTTGGTGGGAATGTAAATTAGTTCAACCATTGTGGAAGACAGTGTGGTGATTCCTCAAAGATCTAGAAGAAGAAATACCATATGACCTAGCAACCCCATTACTGGGTATATACCCAAAGAAATATAAATCATTTTATTTTAAAGATACATGCACGTGTATGTTCATTGTAGCACTATTCACAATAACCAAGACATGGAATCAACCCAAATGCCCATCAACAATAGACTGGATAAAGAAAATGTTGTACATATATCCCATGGAATACTATGCAACCATAAAAAGGAATGAGGTCATGTCCTTTGCAGGGACATGGATGAAGCTGGAAGCCATCATCCTCAGCAAACTAACACAGGAACAGAAAACCAAACACCACATGTTCTCACTCATAAGTGGGAGCTGAACAATGAGAACATACAGACACATGGTGGGGAGCAACACATACTGGGGCCTGTCGGGGGTAAGGGGAAAGGAAGGCATAAGGAAGAATGCTAATGGATGCTGGGCTTAATATCTAGGTGATGGGTTGATAGGTGCAGCAAACCACCATGGCACACATTTACCTATGTAACAAACCTGTACAACCTGCACATGTAACCTGGATCTTAAAATAAAAGTTGGAAATTAAAAAAGTACAAAAAAAGAAGTAAAATTTTTAATCATTGTTGACTTTATATTTGTAGAGATTGAGGAAAGTTTGAGTTTTAGGAGGAGGCTCAGGCTTCAGGCATTGACATTTGAGGAAGTGGAGATAACATTCACATAGTCATGGATCATGGGCCACATAGACCATCTTATCTTTCTATAATATTGTTTGCTTTCTCATGCCTGCTGGCAAAAATTGATGGAATCATTTTGGAACTATCAAGTGTTACAGCTTTTGGATGCATGTACTTGGATATATTTAATAGAAAATCAGAAACACAGGAGTGGAAATACAAAATGCTCTTGTACATTGACATGTTTGTGGGTCACCAGTTCCTAGGATATATTAAAAACAAAAGGGTATAAAGAAGACTAGGAATTATCATATCGTAAAATGGAGCATAGAAGAAATAGCTTATAAAGGAGAATAAAATCAAGTGACCAGAATAGTAGAAAAAGATACAGAAAAAGTTGATATTAAATCATCAGCATCAAATTAGGCCACAGAGTATAAAGGAATTAAAAATGGCTATTAATAATCAGAAGATTGTGAATGATTGTAGCAAAAGTGATTTCAGTAAAATTGTAATAGAAATCAGATTTCAGTGGTTGTAGAAACTAGTAGAAGAAAAAATAGAAATAAGAAGAATGATGGTAAAACCATTAGAAATTATTGATGCTGCCCTACTAGATGAAACGGTTTAGGACACTGGTCTGGGAAGTGGCTTTTTGGCAAAGACCTTAAAAACTTCTAGTAGTTTTACAGTTTTGGATCTTACATTTATGTCTTTAGTCCATTTTAGTTGATTTTTTTAAGTGGCGAGAGATAGTTTCATTCTTCTGCATATGGATATCCAATTTTCTCAGCACCATTTATTGAAGAAACTGTTCTTCCCCAGTGTGCGTTCTTGGCACTCGTGTCAAAGACCAGTTGGATATACATGGCATTAATTCTGGGCTCTTTATTTTGTTTCATTTTGTTCTATTTTTAGTCTGTTTTTACATCAATACCAGGCTGTTATAGATACTATAGTGTTTTAGTATATTTTGAAGTCAGGTAGAGTGGTACCTCCTGCTTTGTTCTTTTTGCTCAAAATTACTTTGGGTATATGGGGTCTTTTATGGTTCTATATGAATTTTAGGATAACTTTTCCTATTTTTGTTAAGAGTTTCATTGGTATTTTGATAGGTATTCCACTGAATTTATAGATAACTTTGGGTAGTAAGAACATTTTAACAATATTATTTTTTTTCAATCCATGACACAAAATATTTTTCTACTTATTTATTTCACAGATTTTTTTGTAGTTTTCATTGTAGAGATCTTTTATCTTCTCAGTTAAATTAATTCCTAGGTATTTTATATTTTTGGCCACTATTGTAAATAGGGTTGCTTTCTTATTTCTTTTTCATTATCAGCATGTACAAATGGTATTGATTTTTGTATGTTAATTTTGTATCCTGCAATTTTACTGAATTCATTAGTTCTAACTTTTTTTTGGTATAGTCTATAGGATTTTCTATATATAAGGTCATGTCACCTGCAAACAGGAACAATTTAATTTTCTTCTTTCTCATTTGGATGTCCCTTATTTCTTTCTCTTGCCTAATTCTGTGGCTAGGACTCTTAGTGCTATGTTCAATAAAAGTAATCAAAGTGGGCATTCTTGTCTTATTCCATATTTTAGAGTAAAAGCTTTCCACTTGCCTCTTTAGTATGACACTAACTGTGTTTTTCTTATATAAGGCCTTTATTGTGTTGAGGGACATTCCTTTTATATTTAATTTGTTGAGAATTTTATGATGAAGGAATATTGGACTTTATCACAGGCTTTTTTGCATTTATTGATACAATCATGTGGTTTTTGTCCTGCATTCTGTTAACGTAACATTTAATGGTTTGCATATTTTGAACTATCCTCGCATCCCTGGGATTAATCCCACTTGAACATAATGAATAATCTTTTTTGTGTGCTTTTGGATCCTGTTTGCTACTCTTTTGTTGAGAATTTTTGCATCTGTGTTCGTCGAGAATATTGACTTGTAGTTTCGCCTTTTTTACTATGTCTTTGTCTGGTTTTGGTATTAAGGTAATAGTGACCTTGTAGAATGAGTTTAGAAGTATTCCTTCTTCTTCAATTTTTTTGAAGAGGTTGAGTATAATTGGTATTAGTTATTCTATACAGGTTTGGTAGAATTTAGCAGTGAAGTCATTATGTCCTGTGTTTTTTTTTTTTTTACTTGATGGGAGATTTTCTATTACTGATTCAATACAATTATTCATCATTAGTCTGTTAAGGTTTTCTATTTCATTATAATTTGGTCTTGGGAGGTTGGATGTGTTCAGTGATTTGTTCAGTTCTTCTGAATTTTCCAATTTGTTGGTGTATATTTGTTCATAATAGTCTCTTATAATCCTTTATATTTCTGTGGTATTAGTTGAAATGTCTTATTTTTTTATCTCTGATTTTAATACTCGAGTAGTCTCTCTTTTTTTCTTAGTCTAGCTTCCAGCTAAAGTTTTCTTTTTTCTTTTAGAAAATGAATTATTTATTTCATTAATCTATTGTATTTTTTTCTTTTTTTTGTTCATTTCTGCTTTGATATGTATTATATTCTTCCTCTACTAATGTTGGGCTTGGTTTCATTGATCTTAATTTTCTAGTTTTTTTTTTTTTGCCATTATGGAACCTTTACTTTTCATGTGACTTCTGTACATAACGAATATGAGAGTAACCCTTTTACAAATGGAACTAATTTGCTAGAACAATGACAAAACTGAACTGGTATTTGATGTGAATCCACAGGAGTTTAAGCTTCAAATCCAGCCAAGAAGTTTGTTAACAATCTCTTTCAGCTTTGCATCTGGTTCTTCTGAGATCTTTCCATCAGCCCTGATAGTGCCCAACAGGGCCTGGTGCTGGCTGACAACACGAGACAAGAAAGCATTCTCAAACTTTGTAACCTTGCTGGGCTCCAATTTATCAAGATACCTCCTTACACCCACATAGATAACAGCCACTTGTTCTTCAATAGCCATGGGAGAATACTGTCCTTGCTTCAGCAACTCAGTTAGACGCACACCACTCTTGAAGTACAATATTAGTTTGTTTGTTTGAGCTCTTTTACTTTTTTATTTTTATTTTTTATTTTTGAGATGGAGTCTCGCTCTGTCACCCAGGTTGGAATCCAGAGGCCTGATCTCGACTCACTGCAAACTCTGCCTCCCAGGTTCAAGCGATTCTCCTGCCTCAGCCTCCCAAATAGCTGGGATTACAGGCACCCACCACCATGCCAAGGTAATTTTTGTATTTTTAGTAGAGACGGTGTTTCATGATGTTGCCACCCTGGACTCAAACTCCTGACCTCAAGTGATCCTCCCACCTTGGCCTCTCAGAATGCTGGGATTACAGGCCTGAGCCACCGCACCTGGCCTCTTCTTGCTTTTTGATGTAAGAGTTCACTGTTATGAACTTTCCTTTAGAGATGCTTTTGCTGTAATCCCATAGATTTTGGTATGCTGTGTTTCCACTTCAGTTTGTCTCAAGAAATGTTAAAATTTTGAGACATTGGTTGTTTGGGAGCATGTTGTTTACTTTCAGTGTATTTGTACAGTTTCTGGATTTGTAGTTTTATTCCATTGTGATCAGAAAAAAATTTTAATTTAATTTTGCATTTTAAAAATTCATTGAAACTTGTTCTGTGATCTAACATATGGTCTATCCTGGAGACTGTTTTATCTTCTGTAAGAAGAATGTATATTCTGCAGATGTTAGATGGAATGTTCTGTAAATGTCTGTTAGGTTCATTTGGTCTAGGGTAGAGTTTAACTCTGGGGATTCTTTGTTGATTTTCTGTCAGGATGATACATCCATTGCTGAAAGTGGGATGTTAAAGTCTGCTACTATTACTGTATTGAGGTTTATCTCTGTGTAGGTTATTAATATTTGCTTTATATGTTTAGGTGCTTCAGTGTTTTATGCATGTTTACTTAAAATTATTATATATGCTTATCATTACATAATGACATTCTCTGTCTTTTGTACTACTTTTGACTTAAAGTCTGTTTTATAGGATATAAATATAGCTACTCTTCCCCTTTTTTGGTTTCAGTTTACACATAATATCTTATCACATTCATGCAATTTATGTGTGTCTAGGTGAAGTGACCTTCTTATAGGAAGCATGTAACTGGGTCTTATTTTTTTAATCCATTCAGCCATTCTATGTTCCTTAATTATAGAATTTAATTCATTTATATTCAAATAATTGTTATGGGTAAGGACTTAATCCTGCTGGTTTTGTTTTTTCTTATTTTCTAGTTGTTCTGTAGATTGTTTTTTTTCCCCCTGTCTGTCATCCTTTCTGGTTAAATGGTTTTTTCTAATAGTGTGTTTTGATTGCTGTTTTTTAATTTTAGTGTATTTGTTATTTTTTTGCTTTGTGCATACCATAAAGTTTACCAAAACATCTTATAGTTATAACAAGTTACTATAAATTGATAACAATTTAACTTTAATTGTAAGGCTAGGAATAACCAACACACACACACACACACAGACACACACACAAACACACAAAAACACCTGTCCTCTTTAATTGCATTGACTCTCCACATTTTGAATTTTGGATATTACATTTTACATCTCTTTATAATGCCTATCTCTTAATAAGTTAGGGTCGTTATTATCATTTTTAATAATTTTGTCTTTTAGTCATCAAACTAAAGATATAATTATATAATTGCTTACATAACACTAAAATAGTATTAGAATAAGTATTAAAGTAAGTCTAATTTTGTCTATATACTTAGTTTTGCCAGTGAATTTTTTACCTTCAAATGTTTTTCTGTAACAGGTTAGTGTGCATTTCTTTCAGTTTGAAGACCTCCTTCGTTATTTCTTGTATGACATGTCTAGTAGTAATGAATTACTTCAACTTTGGTTGTCTGGGAAAATATTTATCTTTTCTTCATTTCTGAAGGATAGCTCTGTTGGGTACAGAATTCTTGGTTGAAGCTTCTTTCCCCTTCTTCATCATTCTGAATGATTCCTCCTGGCTGGCAAGTTTTCTGCTGAGAAGTCAGCTGCCAGATGTATTGGAGCTACATTATATGTTTTTTACCTCTTTTCTCTCAGAAGATTTTGGGACCCTCTCTTTGTCTTTGATCTTTAAGCGTTTGATTATGTCTCAAGGTAGTCTTATTTGGGTTAAATCTGATTACTGACCTTTGATTTTCCTGACCTGGATATTTATACATTTCTCTAGGTTTGGAAAGCTTTCTAATATTTCTTGAAATAATAATTCTACTCTTTTGTCTTTCTTAGCTCCACCTTGAAATCCAATAACACAGATATTTGCTTTTATGATGTGGCACCATAGATTTCATAAGCTTTTTCTCTTCTTTTTTATCCTTTTTTCTTTCTTCTCTGTGTATTTTCAAATATTTTGTCTTTGAGCCCACTGATTCTTTCTTTTGTTTGAACAATTCTGCTGTTGATGCTCTTTATTGCATTATTTATTTAGTCATTGTATTTTTCACTCCAGGATTTCTGTTAAATTTAAAAAAATTATTTCAATATCTCTGATAAATTTCTCTGATAATCTTGAATAATTTCTCTGTATTTCCTTGATACTCACTGAACTTCTTTAAAACAGCTATTTTGAATTCTTTGTTTGCAAGATCACATATCTTCATACCTTTAAGGTCAGTCTCTGACTCCTTATTCTGTATGTTTGGTGAGGTCACATTTCTCTGAAAGTTCTTTATGCTTATGGACATGCAATATGTTCTCCACATGGAGGGATTCCATATTTTAATATTCATATTCTGGCTTTGTTTGTGTCTGACCTTCTTCGGTGGGTCTTCCAGAGGTTCTAAGCAGACTGTTATGTTCCATGAGCCCACGGACACTGCAGCTGTCTCAGCACTGGAGGGTGCTCTAAGCCCATGTGTATTGTGAATCTTGCTAGGGCTCCGAGATTGGCATGGTTCTTCCATCTGGGTTTTATCACCTGGGGAAGAACAAGGAGGGTACCTAGGCTGGCCAGGACCCTTGCCTGTAAGCCTGTCCCAGGGCCCAAACTGGAGTGTCTCCCAGGATTACTCTGCACAGTTGGGACTGCAGAGAGAGTACCCTGAGCCAGGACTGGACCACCAAGATGTGCTGTGGGATGAAAGCTAGTGAGTGTGCCCAGATGGCCTACATGGATGTGCCTTCTAGTAGTTCCTTGCAGGGGCAGAGAGGTTTCCCAACTGCAGAAAGAAGGGCTAGAGCTGAGACTGTCCCCCTCAGGATCTGCTGTTACATAGAGGCTGTTCAGCCCCAGCACATCTCATTGGTTCAGATGGGTGCTTGTTTCTCAGCAGGTCACTTCACAGGTGGAATAGATTCTGCAACTGCAGTGAGAAGGGCCGAAACTGAGACTGGGTCTCCTGAGGATCAGCTGTGGTGCAGAGGCTGACAACCCTGTTTTGTTATATAATTCAAGCAGAAAGATGTTAGGTTGAGGTCATCTGTCAGGGTAGATATGGTGGTATATGTTTGCTATTTAAAGTATTCTATAATTGTGATAGATTAACTCTGGGACTGAAAGTTTCAACTGACTTTCAAGGAGAGGAAGTCACACTAGGAAGGATAATCTTAATTGGAGAGTACAGAGCTTAGAATAAGGAAAAGCAGGTAGAGGTTTTTGTGGTAAATTTAAGAATTAAGTAATATAGATCTGAGTGTGGTAGTAGTAGAAATTAAAGAAGGTTATTCAGAGATTGAAAGGAAAAAGAAAAGTTCTGAGAACGATTCTGATAGGGTGCATGAAGAAGAGAAAAACTAAATGACTCTAAGCAATCGAGACTGAATGGGTAGATGACAAGGAGTCAGATTTTTAAATTATTGTTATTTTAGGGTGGAAATAACAATTTTATTTTAACCATTTAAATTTTATGATAAAAAAGATGTTACGTAAAAATGTTCAGAAGAAAACCATATCAAAGAGAAATACTTCACAGACAGAACTGATTGCATGACATTTTTCTTACCAGCAAATTTTACCACTAATTAGTGAACATAGATAAGGGGACGAGCATTTCTTGTCACAAAAATGAAAACGTCAAGGCTCAAGGTACTTTAATTAGTTCAGTGTAATTCTGCATAGTCAATATAATTATTCATAGCAATGTTGTGGCCTTTGATGTTTAATTCTTACTATTTGGGGAAACTACATCTTTATTCAGCAGTCATTTCTCTTTGGGCTTTATAGCTAGTTTTCAGGATCCCATCACTTACTAAACAATCTCTAGATTCTCCAATCAAGACTTTTCGTGGAAATTTTTCACTTGTGTGCCTTCAAACAGACATCCATAATCTGCTGATTTAAAACTGTCTCCATATTTAACTTGCATATAAAATGTTTAAAGACAATGTAACAGCAATCTGTTACGTATAATGTGAAGGTGATTAGAAATATGTAGATGAAACATCAGGGCAAGAAAGGAATATTTAAAATTTAGCCACAAAGGAATAATTACAATAAAAATAAAGGTAGGAATATGATGCTGATAATAAAAATAAAAACAAATTATTTACTATAATTATTTCCATTTTGTAATTGAGGAAGCTGGAGTGTAAGGAGTGGGTTGAGATGCTCACATAAGTTTTTAAAGGCAATCTGCTTCTGCATCTTAAATTCTTCACTGTCTCTGTAACACAGTATCTGACGGCACAAAGTAGCAGTGTTCAGACCTATGTTAGAGTCTCTCCAGATGCAAGTAAAAGGACACTTGATTAATGGTGCTATAAACAACAGCAGCCTATGTTCCTCATGTTTTAGAAATTATAGAGATAATTGGTCCCATGGACGGGCCCAAGTCTTTTATAAACTTCCACTCTACCACCCTCTGTGTGTTGGCCTACTCCTCACATGACAAAAACTAGCCCCTACTTCAATTATATATCAAATCTCCTGATTAGTAAACATAAATATTCTCCTTACCCTTTCAATTTTATCTATCATGGCAGGCAGCTGAGGTGCACTTAATGAAACACAACTACGTAAAATCCTAGCATACTCCTCAATCACTCATACAGGCTGAATAATGGCAGTGCTAATATACAACCCAAATATTACCATTTTTAACCTGGCCATATATATTACTCTAACAACTACCGCATTCCTAGTACTCAACCTAAACTCAAGCACTACAGCGCTATTACTATCTCGCATCTGAAACAAATTAACCTGACTAACACCCATGATCCCATCTATTCTACTATCACTAGGAGGCCCTCCCCCATTAACTGGCTTTCTACCCAAATGAATTATCATGAAGAGTTTACAAAAAATAATAACCTTACCATTCCTACTGCTATAGCTATTATAACCTCCTTAACCTATACTTTTACATACGCCTAATCTACTCTGCTTCAATTACACTATTCCCCATGTACAACAATGTAAAAATAAAGTGACAATTTGAAAACACAAAACCCATACTACTCCTCCCCCCACTAACCATCCTCGCCACCTTCCTCCTACCAATCTCCCCACTTTATCTATCTCCTAGAAACTTAGGTTAAACAAGACAAAGAGCCTTCAAAGCCCTCAGTAAGTAAATAATACTTAATTTCTGCAATACCTAAGGACTGCAAAACCCTACTCTGCATCAACTGAACGCAAATCAGCCACTTTAATTAAGCTAAACCCTTACTAGATTAACGGGACTTAAACCCACAAAAATTTAGTTAACAGCTAAATACCCTAATCAAGTGGCTTCAATCTACTTCTCCGCCGCGGGGAGAAAAAGGTGGGAGAAGCCCCCGCAGGATTGAAGTTGCTCCTTTGAATTTGCAATTCAACATGATAATCACCTCAGGGCTGGTAAAAAGAGGTTTAGCCTCTGTCTTTAGATTTACAGTCTAATGCCTTACTCAGCCATTTTACGCCCCCCCGCCCCCCACCTATATTCACCAACCGCTGATTGTTCTCAACTAATTCACAAAGATATGGGAACATTATACCTGTTGTTCGGTGCCTGAGCTGGGGTCCTAGGCACAGCTTTAAGCCTCCTTATGCGGGCTGAACTAGGTCAACCCGGCAACCTTCTAGGTAATGATCATATCTATAATGTTATCGTCACGGCCCACGCATTCGTCATAATATTTTTCATAGTAATACCCATCATAATTGGAGGCTTTGGCAATTGACTGGTCCCCCTAATAATTGGTGCCCCCGACATAGCATTTCCCCTCATAAATAATATCATCTCTCCCTGTGGTCATAGAACATTGCTATCATGGGTCCAATTGTACACAGTATTGTACCAAATCAGAATGAAAGAAGTTAGGGACCTCTCTTTGCTTCTCCTCACCTTTCTTCTGTCTTCTTTTCTGTTTTTTTTTTCCTTCTTTCCTCTCCTCTTATAATTCTTCTCCTCTCCTTCCTCCTCTTTATCTCTCTGTCGCTCTCTCTCTCTCACACACACAGACACAAACACATGATAATGGAAAACTTTTGACTCCCAGAAAATCGTTCTCTTATATTTTTATATTTCCGCTTATAAATTGCCTTCTAATATGTGGACAAATGATGGGAGGTTAGTAAGTTAACTAAGATGAAGTGGGTATTAGTTGTTAGATAGCAAACCTTTATTATCTCCCTCGTCGTTTTTAGTTTCCAAAGGGAAAAGTATTTACTTGAAAATGTGATCAAGAACACAACACTTTAGATCCATAATGCCAGGTGTTAAATCCCAGTACCAAAGCTTATATAGGAGTAACTTTGGAAAATTTAGCTAAATGCTCTGTTCTTCAGTCCTTTATTCTGTGGATTTGAATAATACTGACACATCTAGTAAATAGGTCTAAATAAAGCAGCTAGCGCTATTACATGTTAGTTTTATCTGTTATCATTACTATTATTATTCAAATATAAGTCACATGAAATATTTTAACTGCATATTCTACATGCATTTTCTTGCTTTTTCAGTTAAGATCAACTTTAGATGAAATCTACCACTGAATCTTGTGTTTATTGCCACCTGATATTTTACTCAAGTTATACATATAGACTTAAAATTGTTAAGAGTTTGTCAAGGTATGGAGATAGATCAGAGAAGAGAACTAAGAATGGAATTCCCACATCTTGAGTCTGGGAAAAAGTAGACAACAGATGGATAACAAAATTTCCAAAGGTAGATTGTTTCAGTGCTAGAAAAGCCAGAGAAAAGAATTTGAAAAATCAGATGCACTGAAGTGGTTAAAGAAGTAAAGGTTTAGAATAGACCACTGCATTGTACTTTGCAAGTTTGTTTGTGACCCTCTAGAGAACATTGATTTATTAGGGATATAAACAAATTGGAAGTTAGCTAATTAAAAGTGGATTGGGAACTAAGTGAGAGAAAGTCATTCCTGACAAAATCTTCATGCACAGCAGTGCTTCCAGGGGTCGGGATTGATGGGAGGGTAGGATGTACAGAAGATATGATTCAGCTTTCATAAAAAAGTGTGGTGGCAAAAGGAACTAGTCAGATGCCATGGTCCTAGTCAGAAGACACGAGTCAGAGATTGACCAGTTCCTAAGAGTGACTAGGCAGTGTGACTTTTCACACTGTAAACAAGACTTAAGACTGATTGGAACATAAATTGTTGTAACTTGAATGATCCAATCTTAGCAAGTGTTGAAACTCATGGCTCATCTCTGTTGGATTAGATACTAGTTCTGAGGTTGGAGGAAGACAATCATGATTGTTACCACGATATCATATCTAGAAAACTTAACCAGGCTTATTGGGTTTAGGGTTCCTAATACTCTGTGGCATAATTGGATCAGAAACTACCATGGACCTAAAACTATAGAAAATCATCATCTGTAATCTTAACTTAAAGAAACTGAAAAATGAAAGACAGTGCAAAAGGAGGTGGACTTCTTTTCTCACATACACAAGACAGATTATTTTATATTTAGAATGAAATGTATGTGTCTTCTGGTTGATGACTGAGTAAAATAGATATGGTGAGTAGGTTTGTGATTGACATGAATGCTAATCTTACACTAAGTAAGTTGCATTACATTACAACGGAAAAACATGAAAGGTCATGTTTGATGAAAATCAGCTTTGGAAGGACCCACAGTTCATGAATAACAACCTTCAATAAAGGGAAATGTAAATCACAGAAATGTTACCAAGAGAGGAAACACAGCAGTGTTTGATATGGTAGTCTATTAACTGATGTAATGGAAATGAATAACTTCCTATTTGAAACACATCTATAGAATGGAAAATGGGCCAGCTGTTCATAGGTCCTCTGTCATTTAAACTTAACTCAGGGAGACTGAAAGGACAGTGATTTCTTAAGCTAAATATGCACATTTATTTAACAAATGTTGAGAAAAGTCAGGAAAAAGAAAAGTCAGAGAAAAGTCAGGGTGCCTCATTTAATTTCATTTTCCTTATTGGTGTTGATTATTATTTACAAACTTTCACATGCAGGCTGGTAAATTTACCCCTTATTTTCTGAGGGAAATCATTCAAATTTCGTAGTGATAAAATTTCTTACACTTTTTTGAGTTTTGAGTACAACACATATATCATTAATAGAAGGTGAATAAAATATAAATATTTAACTTAATTATCTAATATTAGGTACATATCCATATAATTACTGTCCAGAACAAGAAGTAAGATATTGATGACACCTCAGAACCCTCTTCCCCTACCTTATTTACCTTTCTTATCACATTCTACTCATTCTGTAAAGGTTTCCACTCTCCTGAATTTTATGGTTTTGAAAAAAAATTGCTTCGCTCTTGTTTGGTTATTGTGTTTTATTATTTAAGAGAAACTCATACTAAATAGTTTTGCCCATTTTTAAGCTTTAGTGAAAAGAAATAATGAAGTATGTATACTTTTGTGCCTGTCTCCTTTTCCTCAAATGTTGAAATAAACAGTAGTTCACTATAGGGATTCAAACAGCAGACCTGTGGAGACAGAAGACTCAGTGAATTTAAAATTTGGACAACGGAAATTGTCAATTCCAAGAATTGTAGGAAAAAAAAACAATGAGAAAAAATAAACAGGGCCTAAAAGACCCAAGAGACGCTACCAGCACTACCAAAGTACACATTGTGTAAATCCCAGAAGGAGAAGAGATTGAGAATGAACAGATTATAATAGTGATTATGTATATACACACACAAATATCCATATTCACATATAGACATAATCTTCACATTAACATGTCTATATGTATGTACATACACATACATATATAAATAATAATAAATGAAAACTTTCTAAATTTGAGGAAGGCAGCTATATATCCAAGAATTGCAATGAAGTTCAAGAAGGATAAATTCAAAGATATTTATACCAAGACATACTATAATCAATTTATTCAAAATAAAAAGCAAAGAAAGCCCACCACCAGAAAACATTCCATGGTGAACTCTATGAAACATGTAAAGAATTAACATCAGTCCTACTCAAACTCTTCCAAAAAAATAGAAGTGGAGGGCACATCTGACACATTCTATGATGCCAACATTACCCTGATATCAAGGCGAGACATAGTTACCACAAGAAAAGAAAACTGCAGACTAATATACCTTATGAATACAGTTGTAAAAAATACTCACCAGAACACTAGGAATCCTAATCCAACAGTGCATTGTAATGATAATAAACTATGACCAAGTGGAATTTATCTCAGGCATGCAAGGTTGTTCAACATATGATATCAATCAATGTTTTATACTACATCAATAGAATGAACACACACACACAAACATATACATACAGACACAGAATCATCTCAATATATGCAGAAAGGCATCTAACAGAATTTAACACTCTTTTATAATAAAAACACTCATCAAACTAGGAATAGAACAGAACTTAACATCTTGAAAGGCATTTACCAAAAATCCTATTACCCTCATTGATGAAAGACTGAAAGCCTTCTTTTAAGATCAGAAACAAGATTAAATGCCCATTATCCCCACTACAACATTACACTGGAAGTCCTAGCTAAAACAATAAGACAATTGTATGAACACCACTGCAATCAAGATAGAGAATATTTCCATCACCTTTCAAATTCCCTTGTGCCCTTTTACAATAAATCCATTACCACAAAAGCCATGTCCTGACAAACACTGATTTATTTTCTGTCCTTTAATTTTGCCTTTTTCAGAGTGTCATAGAACTTGAATCATACAGGATGTAGCCTTGAGTTTGGCATTATGACTGGGCAAAATGTATTTAAGATTCATCCACATCCATCGTCATCCATATCAGTGCTTTGTTTCTTTTTATTGTAACCTTGTATTCCATTGTAAAAATATACCATAGTTAATTTGTCCATTAAACAATTGAAGGACAAATGTTCTAAGTTCTGGTGATTACAAATAGAGCCACTTTAAACATGTGCCTACAGATACAGTGGTTTCCCCCTTATCAGAGGGGGCTGCATTCTAATAACCCCAGTGAATGCCTGAAACCGTGACTAGTACCAAAGCGGATATATATTGTTTTTCTGTATATATACTTACAATAACATGTAATGTATAAAATAGGCATAGTAAGAGGTTAAAAATAATGAATAATAAAATAGAACAATTATAATAATATACTACAATAAAAGCTATGTGGGCATCTCTCTCTCTCTCTCTCCCCTAGTCTCTCAAAATATCTTATTGTACTGGACTCACCCATCTGGTGATGATATGAGATCACAAAATTCTTATATAATGAGATAAAGTGAAGTGAATAATGTAGGTGCTGTGTTATAGCATTAGCCTACTATTGCATTTCTGAGCATAGGTTAAAAAAAAAAAAAATGGAAAGTGTAACTGAGGATAAAAGGAAACTAGTGTATTTTGTGTTGACATATGCATGATTTCATCTATTTCTTCTTAACTGGACATTGGTAATTTATGTTTTTAAAATTAGTCCCTTTTTTCCAAGTTATCAAATTTATAAGCAGAAAGTTCTTCATAATATTTTATCTTTTTTGTATTTTTATGCATGATATTTATTCTGTAATTATTCTAAATATTTAAATTATTTTGTCAGACTATTCAACATTTACATTCATTTACACTAAATTGTTTTCTTTGCTGTGTTTCTTAGCAATAGATTTCTTTATGTCATTTGGAAATTTGATTTACCAAATATTTTGAAGAAGGTTTTCCATTGCTGCCCACCTCAACCATATTCGCTCTTAAAATTTCATGTGGTTTTGTGGTCATTATTATTTTTGGGACTGCAGCATTGGTGATTTAGGCCTTCTGCATCTCCATGGATTTGGGAATTTTGAAATAGCAGCCAGATACATTATAGCTTTAATTTCTGGTTGCATAATTATATGTCCTTTTTTCTATGAATATGGTGCCATACTTTGTTATAGACCCGAACCCCAAGAAGTGGTTGGTAACTGCTCTTTTTGTATCTTCATAAACTGGAGACCCCATCACCAGCCTCTCCTCAGAGGACACAGGCTTTCAATTCTGACTGACTTTTGCTTTCCACTTCAAAATGAACAATTGTTGTCCACATTATCCTTCAGGAACTAATCTTCTGGCCACATCTCTTTCCACCCAGACACAGAGCTAAGTAGACCTAAAGTGTCAAAAATCCCCACAGATCACTCATGTAAAATAGTTTGTTCAGTTTCAACTGCATGGAAATATTTAACTTTCTTTTTGAAAGTCATATATTTCCAATTTTTTTTCATTTATTATCTGTGTATATGTATAAAGAAAGGAGTTGCCTCAAAGTGTTACAAAGAGCAATGCTAATCAGTTCAACTTCTGTTATTTACTAAACTTTCTAGTCACAAATTTTGTTAAATTGAGATGTTTCCAGGAATGCTGTGGTTATAAGCAGTGCAGAACAATGTAAGGCAGCTTAGATGCTATTTGGACCGTGCACACAGATTAAAATCGCAAATAAAGTAAAAAATAGTTTGCTATTAGAAAGGCTAGAAAGGGGAAATACTATTAAACAAATGAATTGATTTAAAAAATAAATATTCATGATACCACTTAACAATTTAGAATTTATGAGTATAATTATATCAATCTCTTTGAATAAAACCATTTAGAAAATGTTCTAAGGGAAAGAATTATTGAAGAATCAGAAAACTGTCAGAACAAAAGGGGACATGAGGCCAGATATGAATCATGCTTTCTTTCCAAAGAAAACTAACAATAAGGATAGTGAATTAGATAGAAGATAGCATCCCAATCCCATTAAACTAATATATTTGCACTTATAGCCTCATATGAATTCCTTGTTTTTGTCTAGAATTTTATACGCCTTGCTGTTCATGAAAGTATTTACGTCAGTAATGTTGCAATAGAGTATATTACATCTTTTATACATAAAATCTTTGAAGGAAAAAAAGCACTTCTGTTTAATTAATTTCTGGGTTTGACTTAATAGACTATTTTATTCAAAATCTAAGGACACTGCCACAGAGAGCAGGAGAGCCCGAGGACTCCTTGGCTGGGGCTGAGTGTGGTTACCCCACACTGTAGCCACAGCCAACATCAGCTCACACCACTTGGGACCCAGAAGGTCATCCTGCCATGGGGGCAGCTATTGCTACACCACACTGGTTGCCCAGGGGCCTGAGAACCTACTCACTTGCCTGGCCGACTGCCGCCACTACAGGCATTTGAGTAAGCCATCTGGTGGCTAGAGAACCAACCCGCTTGTTCCTGCTAACAACAATGCCGGGGTACGCATACCTGGAGTCCAAGGTCAGGCGTGATCTGCTCACTGCTGCCACCACTGGGTCCTAAGACAAAGCCTTCCAACATCCCTGCCCCAATCAAACCTTCACCATAGCCTACACTAATAATCACACCTAAACCAATAAGAAATCACAGGTGCCACTGATGCTGTTTACAACTGAAGAACTCATACAGAGACTATACTTCTGCATACACCCAGAGTCAAAGACAAAGGGCCATACCCAACCAACACCATTAATACATCTTTAGGAAAATACTCTCCTCTGTGAAACCAAATTCAAAAGATTGGAATAAGTAACTACTACACTAGTTGTGCAGATACCAATGTAGGGATAAGAAAGCAGGAAAAGCAAAAAAAAAAAAAAAAAGACACATCCAAACACAATAATCCCCCAGCAACAAATAGCCCAACCAAAAAGAAATGCATGAAGTCCTGAAAAAAGAGTTCAAAATTATGATACTAAAGCAGCTGAGTAAGTTTCAATAGAGTTCTGAAAAACAATACAATTTTTTTGTTTTAAATTCAGGATATGAATGAAAAATTTACCAAAAAGATAATTCTTATTAAAAAAAAACAAACCCAGAAACTCTGAAATTAAAGAATTCCTTGGATGAAATACAGAACACACTTCAAAGCCTTACCAATAGGCTGGACCGAACAGAAGAGAGAATTTTAGAACTTAAAGACAGAAATTTTGAAATAACCCTGTAAACAAAAATAAGGGAAAAAGAATGAATAAAGTCTGCATTATATATATGGAACACCATAAAGCAAACAAATATATGAATTATTGGTATCCAAGAAGGTGAAAAAAGAATGAAAGGGTTTGAAAACTTATTTAATGAAAATGAAATAATGGATGAAAACTTCCCAAGACTGGCAAGGGATTAAGACATCTACATACAGGAGGCCCAGCAATCACCAATGAGATTTAATCCAAAAAGCCTTCTCCATGGCACATTGTAGTCAAACTGTCTAAAGTCAACAACAAAGAGAAAATCTAAAATTAGCAAAATAAAAGCATCTATTTACGTATAAGAAATCCCCCATCTCACCCCATTTGAAATGGCTTAATTCTAAAATACTGGTAATAATGAATGCTGGTGAGGATGTAAAGAAAAGAGAACCCTCATATACTTGTTGATGGCAATGTAAACTAATACAGCCACTATAGAGAACATCTTTAGGAAAATATTCTCTTCTGTGGGAGGTTTCCAAAGAATTGAAAAGTAGAGCTGCCATATGATCCAGCAATCCCACTGCTGGGTCTATATCCCCTAAAAAGGAAATCAATGAATCAAAGAGATATCTGCACTCTCATGTTTTTTGCAGTTCTGTTCACAATTGCTAAGATTTGGAAGCAACCTAAGTGTTCATCAACAGATAAATGGATAAAGAAAATGTGGTACTTATACACAATGAAGTACTATTTAGCCATAAAAAATGAGATTCTGTTATTTGTTACAACATGAATGGAACTGGAGATCATTATGTTAAGTGAAATAAGCCAGACACAGAAAGACAAACATTACAAGGTCTCACTTATTTGTGGGATCTAAGAGTCAGAACAATTGAACCTATGAAGATAGAGAGTATAGAATGATTACCAGAGGCTGGGAAGGGGCAGGGAGAGGGAGGTGGGGATGATTAATGGGTACAAAAAATAGTTAGAATGAATGAATATGAACTAATATTTTCTGGCACAACAGAGTGACCATAGTCAATAATAATTTAATTATACATTTACAAATAACAAAAAGAGTATAATTGGATTGTTTGTAACCCAAAGGATAAATGTTTGAGAGAATGAATACCCCTATCTTTCATAATGTAATTATTATGCATTGTATTCTTGTATCAAAATATCTCATGGACCTCATAAATATATACATCTACTAGGTACCCACAAAAATTAAAAATTAAAAAAGTATCCCCCATCAGACTAACAATGAACTTCTCAGCAGAAACTCCACATGCCAAGGAAGACTGGATATATTCAAAGTGCTAAAAGAAAAAAAAATAAACTGCCATGCAAATGGACTATATGCAGCAAAATTATCCTTCATAAGTGAAGGAGAAATAGTCTTTCTTAGACAACCAAATGCATTTATGGAAAAATGTTACATAGCTAGATTATGACACAGAGAGAAAAAGCAGTACCAAAATATAAGAAATTCAATCTAAGCATATTTTTCATTCCAGATGACAGAGATATATGGAAAACAGCATACCTCATGGTGATAGCTTTACACTAAAGAGTTATGGGCTAATATAGCTGGGACTCAGGTGTGCTATTATTTTCTGAGATAGATCATGAATCCTGAAAATACTGAATAAAAACTTAATATCTACGTTGTGAATAAACGTTAGAAATTCAGACTTAGGTTTAAACATAAAAGTATCGTGTGTACTTTTCAGATATTCTAAATACTCTATGATATTAAATTTGTATTATTGTTTAACAATAATAAAATTATAATATATAAATTAAAATATACAATAAAATTGTATAAATATTATATTATATAAAAAATTATTTGTATAGCAATTATACAAATTTGTCAGAGAAGCAAAACAAATAACAAATAACATGAATAACAATGAATAATAATAAACTAATTGTTGCTGTAAATAATCCAATTAAGAATACATTTTGATAGACATTCCTTTATGCATGAATTCTAAGTAATAATTTATGAAGTATCAAAACATATGTGCTATCTACAGATTTTAATAATTTTACTTATTAAAAAGGTTTTTCTTGTGATTTTTGAAGTTACATTAGAATTTATATAATTTTATACCCATTATTAGAAGGTGTTAGCATAGCAATAAACTAAAATTAAATTTAATACTTAAAAGTTATGTCTAAGATGTAAGACAAATGTTAATTCCTGATGAGAAAGATATTCCTTGCTCTCCAAAACAGCAAGGAAGCAAATGGTGCATGAAGACAAGAGTTCATGTGCATGAAATTCTGACATTCTTAATAATTTTGAAAACTTTATCATTTTGTGATTTTTTTGAAAGGGAAATCAAATGTTTACCCCTAAAATTAATCCTGGTTGATACTTTCTGATATTTTTCTTGCCTACCTGGTTACACAAGGTACAGATCAAGTTCTTAAAAAAGTATGATTCTTTTAATAGCTTTAGAATTCCTGACGTACGAAGTATCAAGAAAATGAAAGAACTAGAAATGGAAAGTTTTTCTGAGAATCACAAGATGTGAGAACTAAAGGTACAAATGTCATTAACAAGATAACTCTAGCTCATATTTAGTGATGTGTGCAAAGGATATTAAATAGAATTATGTGTTGTTCTACGCTATCCTGGAGCAATAATAATAATAATAATAGCAACAACAACAAGAAAGCAGCAGCAACAGAAGCTGCTGTTAATTGCATACACCTTATATGTCAGATATTTTACATATACTATCACATTTAATAGTGCAGTAACTCTATGAGTGTGGGAATGAGAGATCTGAGGAACTAAGGAATTAAGTAATGTTCCAGTTGTCACAGCATACGTGGCAGAACAGGGATTTGAACCCAAGGATGTGATTTGAGTCACCATCTTATATACTGCCTTTAGAAAAGTGACTGTATTTTGTCCAAGAACTAATTTCAAAACACAATAATACTGCCCCTCGATTTGTCTTAATTTGAATTGTTGACACTTATAAACCTTCTAGGCTATCCTCTTGTCTTAAAGCCTTATTGGATGTAGTAAAGACAGAGAATGCAAATTGGTGGGCTAGTCTGGTGGCAATAATATGGATTTAAAATTTGACAGATTTGTCTTTATCTCCAACTACCTTTTATATGCTTTTATATATGTATAACTTCATGAAAATTTTATACCATCTTTGAATCTCGATTTCCTCATAGGTAAAATGGAGCAATTCAAACCTACCTCATACAATTATTGTCAATATTATTGAGGTAATAACAGTATCTGTAAAGTTCTGAACATAGTGCTACAGCAGATGGTCAGTAAATAGTAGCTTCTATTGCTGTTTGTATGATTATTAGCCCCAAACACAGTGATCATTTTTATGCATCTTTTTAATCCTATTTAGAGTTCAAATGCTATAAACTATAATATCAGTTTAAATATAAACGAAACACCGCATGTTCTCACTCTTAAGTGGGAGTTGAACAATAAGAACACATGGACACAGGGAGGGGAACATCACACACTGGGGCCTGTCGGGGGGTAGGGGGCTCCGGGAGGGAGAGCATTAGCAGAAATACCTAATGTAGATGACGGGTTGATGGGTGCAGCAAACCACCATTGCACGTGTATACCTATGCAACAAAACTGCACATGTACCCCAGAACTTAAAGTATAAAATATATATATACACATATATATATATGTGTATATATATATATGTATATAGTGATCTTGTAACATTTAGGTAAAAAACACTTCCTTTGAATATTCTCTATTGTAGTGCCACTTATCTCCTTTCACAGGAATATGCGAGTAAATAAATAATCCATTTGAGTCCAAATCATATGCATTGCCTAGTTGAATGTTTCTCAAACCATTCCACTTGTGACTAAGCCACTTGAGAATTCTGGAAAACTCGCAAATCACTGTATACTTAAAAACAAATTGTGACAATAAATTACTTTTATATTACTTAGAAAAAAAAGACAGTAGAGGCCAGGTGCGGTGGCTCGCACCTATAATTCCAGAACTTTGGGAGGCCGAGAGGGGCAGGTCACGGGGTCAGATCAGGACCATCCTGACTAACACGGTGAAACTTCATCTCTACTAAAAATACAAAAAATTATCCGGGAATGGTGGCATGCACCTCTTGGGCCAGCTACTCAGGAGGCTGAGGCAGGACAATCTCTAAAACCTGGGAGGTGGAGGTTGCAGTGAGCCAAGATCGCGCCACTGCTCTCCAGCCTGGGTGACAGAGCGAGACTCTATCTCAAAAAAGAAAAGAAAAGAAAAGAAAAAGACAGTTTATAATATACTGGTGGTATGTGATCATAGAGAACACATATGAACTATAAATTGTGAAGTATTCACACTCAATATATATGGCTAACAGGATCAAGTGGAAGATGAGGAATAAATGTTCTGCTAGAAAAATAGTGGAGCCTTCTTGCTATCGGAAGAGATTTTAAACGTGTTAGTATGCTGAGCTCCCTGAATTCAAAATGTCCTCAGAACTTTTAAAAATTCCACTTGAGAAATATACTTAATAGCATAAAATGTGAAAAATTGATTTCAAAATACATGACTACCCTTCATAAAATTATAATGCTTTTCTTGCATTGATTTTAATGTGATATTTCTAAACTGATTTGTTAGCCTATGTTTTATACAAAGTTGATAATCTAGGACTTAAAATGCTGTTGCCATAGGGAAGAGAAGAGATTGAAACATATATTTGAGTTTACAATTTGATTTTAATGAAATCATCTGGCTGAATGTAAAAGCAACATCTGCATCCTTGTCTTCTGCAGGAAGCTGTGGTTAATTTTTGTGCAGAACAAAGAATAGAGTAATTAGAATGTTTGATGAGTTTTAAAAGATATTTTCACTTCCAAAAAGAGAACATATAGTTCTCTGATCAAATGTTGGGAAAACCTGACTTAATGTATGTGATTTTCACCACAACAGTAAAACAACAGAAAGGGGATTGTTTTACCGCAGTGTTCAAGATCAGTGCAATTATCATTGTTCTCTTAGATTTATATAAATCATTTTTGTGATATCATGGACTATCTTGAATACTCATTTTTCATATACATATTAGAAACATACAGATTCTCACTATTACTAGTTATAACAACTGTGTTTGGTCTAAATCAATTTCTCACCCTTGGCAGTTTGATCTTTGGGGTTGGATAGTTCTTTGTTGATTGGGGCTGCCCTCTAGATTGTGGGATGTTTAGCAGTAGTCCTGGCCTCTACCCACTAGATGCCAGGAGCTATCCACTAGATGGCAATAGCAACTACCTTCTTTGATTTGTTTTGACAATCAAAGCCTTTGTTCTAAGCAATGCCCAGTGTCTTCTGAGGGTCAAAATCCCAGCCAATGAGAACCAAAGATCTAACCCTTACATTTTCAAATTTATCATTCATTTGTTCATTCATTCGTTAAAAGTGTATTCTGTAACAAACGTGGTCTAGTGCTGTTTTGAATAACAACAGTTAATCACAGCTTTTGTTGAAGTAGGAGCCTGATGAGCCTATTTTTATGAACCTGCAAATCCTTCTGGGTCAAAGACTTATCTAAAGTTTTTTAACCTTAAACATTCCTTATCTTCTTCAGTATGGTGATAGAATTCATTCTTAATACAGTTGGGTTTATTTTTTTGACTGCTTATACTCCTTTACAGGTTCCCAGCACGTCCTGATTGGTTTTATTTATTTATTAGGGGATATGTGAACACTAATATGGTTCAGAGTCAATGCTACACAAATTATAATCATAGCAGTGTCCCCTTCTTTTCATCTCTTTTACTCAATTCCTAGTTTTTCCTTGTTTTCACTCTTCCCATCTGGGCCCTGTAACTAACAAATCTCTTTAGTTTCTGGTTTAACCTTCATGCATTTCTTTTGTACAAATGAGTGTATTTGTGTGCACGTGTGCACACACACACACGTTGTTTCCTTACATCTCTTTCTTTCTTACACAAAGGATAGCGTACTATATATACTTGTTTGCTTTTTGCTTTTTTCTACCTAACTGTATGTCCTGAAAGTGACTCCAGTCACTATAAAGTCAGTTTATAGAGATTACCTTATTGTTTCCTACAGACAAATAGTACTTGATTGTGTAGATGTACCATAATTTAGTCAACCATTCTTCTAGGTATTGGAATTTTGAATGTGTCTAATAGTTTTCATGAACAATGCTGCGATGACTAACCTGTTGGTGTATATGGTTTTAGGCATATCTTTAAGAAAGTTTCTTAGCAGTGGGGTTATTGGATCAAAGGGGTTAGGTGCATTTGTAATTTTGTTGGATATTGCTAAATTCCTCTCTTGAAAAATTGTAGCAGTTTGCATTTCCACCAACAATATAGAAGTATTACTGTTTTCCCACAGCTTTACCAACAGAATTTCTGGTTTTACTTTTTAATTTCTGCCAGCTGATGGATGAGAAATGGTATTTAGATGTTGTTTTAATTTACATTTCTCTAATTATGAGAGATTTTGAATATTTTTCATATATAAAATATATACGTTTCATATAACATGAGTGTATTGCATGTGTGTGTGTATTTGTCTTTTCATGACTTTGTCATTTTGCTTTCTACTGGGTTTTAGACCTTTGTTCTAAAATGATGCTTTAAAGTATCCTATATGTTAATGTTTATTTCTATGTCTCCTTGTACCTCCTGTAGAGTTTTAACTTCATAAACATGATTGTTACATATGAGTGTGGCTGCAGGCCAAAATCCTATGTGGGATCTTTAAGGTCCAAACATGAACAATAACAAAGGATTTACCTGGCACATTTCATGGGTGAAAGCCACCGTCCCACACAGTACTCTGTGCAGTGCTGTAGTCTCTAGAGAGGGTTGTCATTAAGTTCTCAGCAGTATGCCAGCGCCTGCCACCTCCCCAGTCATGTGCACTGACCCACTGGAACTTCCCATGTTCTCAGTTTGGCTACTTATTATTCTATTTGACCGCCTTGACACCTGGCTGCTCTCCACAGCACAGGTATTACTACTTTATCTTTATTTCTAATACTGGCTTTTTAACGTTCATGAATGTCCTTGCTTTTCATATTTAATGCTTTTGGGATTGATTTGTACTTTGGTAGTAGAATTGCTGCTGTAGTTCTCTTTATTCATTTTCCAAGATGTATTTGTCCGCACCTTTATTTTTAGCTTTTATAGATCATTTTGTTTCAGGTTTGTTTTCTGTTGTAAAGAGTGTATACTTGAATCTTGATTTAAGACTTAAATTAAAATTTTTTTCTCTCGTTAGGCAAGTTACACTAATTCAGATTTATTGGCAGGACTATGTTTGATCTCAACTCTGTCATAAAATATTATAATTATATCTCTTTGGCAATAATAACTATATTTTTCCTCTGGGAGATGTGGCATACACATGTGTGTGCGTGTGTGTGTGTTGTAGTGGTTACTTTTATATTTAAAATCTTTCTAATGCCTTTAGGCTCCTGCTTGTTTATTTAATCTTTTAGTTTCTTTTTAAAATATGGTACACTTTATGCTCTTTTATTACAACAGATTATTATATTTTTTTCCTCTTTCCTTCTCCTTTCTCCTCCCATTTTGTATTTGCTTTATTTCTATTTTGTCGAAATATTTACATTTGTTTATTAGTCTTCCACCCTCATGTCTACCATTGCTTTTGTCTTAGATGTACATTTATATAATGTCTATATTGCCACTACCCATCCTTTTGCGTAAATTTTCCATCATCACTGGGTTGGATGAGGTTTGTCATCTAGAAATCTAATGGGGACACAATTCCCTAAGCCTTGTATGTTTTTTAAAAAATGGTTTAGCTATAGCTTTGATACTTGAAGGAAAACTTGGCTGGAAATAAAATGTATGGTGCAAAATATATTTTCTCATTAGATCTCTTATTAAGTTTATTGCCTTGCTTTGAATATTGGTATTAAAAAAAACTGATGTTTGTCTATTTGTTTTACCTTTGTAAGTCATTTACTCTTTATGCCTGGTGAGATTGAGGCCTTTATCTTTTGAAATGGAATGATTTCAGTAAGATGTGTCTCAGGGTAAACATTTCTGTGTTAATTTTCCCAGGTATCCAATGAGCATTTTCAATGAGTAGACTGAAGTCTTTTTAAAATTTTTAGAATATTTGTTTATATTATTGTTTTAAATATTAGTACTCTTAAGTTTTTCTCAGAGACTGCAATATTATGAACAATTTTTCTTCTTTGTTTCCTATTTCCAGTACTTTCATGCTTTCCATTTTTACTTATTTCTTTATATCATTCTCTTAATTCTTAATTGTTTTCCTGCTTTTCTCTGATGCCTCTTACTAAATTTACTTTTGCAACTATTTTCCTCTGGGAATTTTACAATTATTTGTTTATTTATTTTGAGATGAGTTTTGCTCTTGTTGCCCAGGCTGGAGTGCAACGGAGTGATCTCAGCTCACTGCAACCTCTGCCTCCCGGGTTCAAGCAATTCTCCTGACTCAGCCTCCCGTGTAGCTGGGATTACAGGCATGTGCCACCATGCCCGGCTAATTTTGTATTTTTAGTAGAGATGGCGTTCCTCCATGTTGGTCAGGCTGGTCTCGAACTCCCGATCTCAAGCGATCTGCTTTCCTTGGCCTCCCAAAATGCTGTGATTACAGATGTGAGCCGCTGTGCCTAGCCTACAATTCACTTTTTATATTGAGATTTTTTTTTTCTCCAAATCATCTTCTGCAATAGCTCTGAATGAACTTAAATTTTCTCCTGTTCATTTTTGTGATGTTGTAGCATTTTGCAAGGTTCCTAGTTTAATGGTTACCTTCGTTTGCCAGCAAAGCAAACTCCAGGTAATTTGACTAGGTTGTGTGTTTGAAGAGAGAGTACAGCATTGTCTTTTTGTTTTTGTGGTAGGCATATGGGTTTATGATTCTAATTTTTATGATTGCCTTTTGTCTTGAAGAATTTCAAATTCTTCCCTTTTCTTCTCTTTTCCCTTTGTTACCCAATTGCCAAAAGGTGCTTATTTCTCCTTTTTCATCTTTAAGTTTCTCAGAAGCTGCATGTTTCCAAGAGTGCTGATTTAAGCCATGCCTGCCCCTTTACATCACATATACTTGGGCATTCCTTCTCTGTAGCCCATGCTCTAATCATACTGTAATTTGATCATTTTTGTTTTAATTTTCAGTATTTTTAGACTTAGGATGGGCTTAGTCTTTTGTCTTTTTCTAAGTTTCTTCTTTTGTCTTCTTTGCAATTTTCCTAATTGCCTTTGCTTGTTGCATAGTCTTAGAGTGGGTTGGGACGGGGAATGTAGCATGCAAGATTGTGTGCTGGATTTAGTGATTTTTTTCTTTTTACTTAGAGTCATTTTGAGGTTTCAGCAATTTCTGCCTTCAATTTATATTGAATATGCGGTTTGTGATAGAATTTAAATTTTACTTCTGTTATCATATGGTGAGGAAATACTGTAATATAAATGGGTATGCTGCTACCTTTTTCTTCAGCTGTGTAGCTGTGTCAAATCATTACATTATAAAAAATTATCAAAAATATGTCCTAAGATAGAGATGAGATGTCTATTAAACAAGTTTAGTGAACTTGTAGAATACATCTTATATACCACAAACAAAAATATAATTAATAATTATACGTAAAACCTTATTCATATAGGCCTGCTACCTATTATGTTTAATCATCATCTTGGTTTTAATGTCCATAATGCATATGTCAAATATATGCATAGAAAGGTAAGAATAACTTTATACATATATATAGGTTCTGTTTCCCTGAAGAACCCCGATTAATACAGATTTAAATTTTATCAACTGAATGTTTGTGTTCTCTCAATATGCATATTTTGACATCGTAATCCCCAATGTGATAGCTTTAGGAGGTGAGAATTTGGGGAAGTAATTAGGTAATGATCGTAGAGGCTTCTTGAAGTGATTGGTGCGCCTGTAAAAAGAGATTCTGGAGAGCTCTCCTGTCCCCTTTCTACCATATAAGAATGCAATGAGAAGACAGCAGTCTGCAATCGGGAAGTGGGCCCTCACCAGAACCCAACCATGCTGGCACCCTGATCTCAGACTTCTAGCCTCCAGAATAGTGAGAAATAGATTTCTGTTGTTTATAAGCCACTCAATCTATGATACTTTGTGATAGCAGCCTGAATTGACTAAATATCGAGCATAGTGTCTGACAAAATATTCCATAAATATGTTTAAATTGTGATATCTTCTAGAGTTATTCAGAACAAATATAAGCCTTATACAATATGTCTGCCTTTAAAATTATTGTAAGACTGACAAAATGCACTCTAAATATTATGAAACTTTCAGTTGGTCTTTATATGATGAAAGTTTAAGTGGATTTTTCATCATGATCACTACTGTTTGGAAATGCTAGATTTTTTTTCATGCTGCTAAAAAGGCTAGGCACATTAAAATAACTTATGCAGTCTACTAGTCAGGTTAAATTCCTTGATCTTCACCTTATTAATCTGAAACAGAGAGACCATTACTTTGAAGGATTATTGTGAACACCAGCATATATTACAATATCAAATACATAGAAACTACTAAAAATGGTAACTATCTATGTTATTATTAAGTACACAATTTTTACAAAATGCATTTATAACATATTCCCTCAAGTAAGTATCAACTGACCTTCTGGTAAGAGCTATTATATAGAAGCTGGGTCATGCTTAAATTATTTAAATACAAACAACAAATTACAGTAAAAGGGAGAATTATAAATAAATACTACATATGGAAAAATTTTGTGCTAGAAAAATTAATTGGGCCTCTATTTTGGCACTGCGTCAGCATACTGTATAAATTACTTAATCCTAGTGGTGCATTTAAAGTTAATGTAATAACTTCCAATAATATACTTCCCTTTAAAAGCATAGTATTAAACAGATTAATAAGTAACTACACTATATTTGAACATGTGCTCCTTGGTAGTTATTTTATTTCACATTCCTTCCAGAAAGTAAAAATATAATAAGTAAAAACATCTTTTAAAATAGTCTGACGGTGTTTCCTTAATTGAGGCATGACAATTTTCTTATTTTTCCTGTTTTAGACTCTAGCATAATAATAGCCATGCTTATCTATATCTGGAACATAAGGTCTAAGAACTCAACAATTGTGGAAAATGTGAGCACGCTGAGTAACATACAGTTTATCTATTTTCTGGTTTTATGCAAAAAAGCTGCATGTTCTATCTGATGGTCTTGATGCAATCAACCTAATTTAGAAAATGTGCCAAACTGAATTATAATATTACTAATGCAATAAAGAGCAAAGCTATTATGACATGAAGTTCATTTGAGACTATTTGTGTCAATTTTTTGACATACTATTTTAAACTTATTTCTTATTCTTTCAGATAAAATGATTAACATTCTATTCAAAAGAAAGTATAGGATTGTTTTCCTTTCTAACATTTTAAAAAAAGAAATCATGAAGAACCTTACATTTCATACTGTGTTAGCTTACAATGGCATATCTTAGCAAGTATAATTAGAAAATACAAAAGGAGAACTAAGAATTTGTTGTTCTAAGAAAATATGAAAAAGCAATAAAAGGGAAAAAGAAGCAAAATAATTTCAAAATAGTGCTACGCATAAAAAAGTTCTGAGTTTACACAACATTGTTGAGCAATGATGCTATTAGGGCGTAGAATATCAGAATGCACATGAATTTATAGATTTATGGAATGTTACCATTGCTACATTAAATAATTTTTTGACAATGTTGAAAATGAAAGGTTGTGGGGAAGAATATACTAAAATGATCCAGAAGTTTTAGGTCACATTATGATCTATAGAAATTTTATACTTAAGTGCAATGTGATTGCATAGGCTAATTTTAAGGACCCACTCTTTTTAACAACAGAAGTATATGTTAAAGATTGGGAATATCCAAAATATAACAACAATTAACCGTCAGAATCTGAGAGTTAGGAAGCTGAATTTCATAAACTTATTAATAGTTAGATATTGCGACTCTATACAGATTAATTTCTAATTTAAATGTCTAATAAATATTATTTCAAGATACTGTGTAGCTTGGGAATATATTCTTAAAAGTATTTGGAGACACCCCTCTCATTCCCAGAATCAACTCCTCAATTTTTTAAAAATCTGATATTGTACCGATGCTCGTTTCTTAGATATAAAATTCTGCTCAGCACATGGAGATATTCATGACACCAAAGGAACATATATAAAAACAGAAAGATTAAGAAGTCAGTGACAAAATAATTTACCCTATCTTGACAAGAGTTCTGTAGTTGACTGTTGTGTTTGCTTTGGTATTTACATCAATTCTTTAAGGCTTCACATTCAATAACTTAAAAGTGGATATCCATTACTCTGAAATAAATAATGTATTTTGGATATATTTTTAAGGCCATTATGTGAATATGAAATACAAAAGGGCATAGCACACTGGCTTTAGGTGAAAATACAGGTAGCAAGAACATGAAGCAACAAAGAGATTTTGTGTTGTTTTGTTTAATTTTCTATTATAGAGTCAAGATCAAACAACTCAGCTCTATCACCTCTTTTGTGTCTGACACTGAAAAATTCGAAATATAAAAAAGCATAGTAAGGCTTACAGACAAGTAGTATATGCCCAAATTTTCTTGAAGGAATAAAACAGGTGTTCTTACAGTGATTCCATTTCTAAAGTCCTCAATATATGAAGTATATGTGTTTTGTGACACTATTATTGGGAGTCAATGTAGGTAGGAATTTTAAGAAGGATGGAGACTGTAAGACCTATCTGGGAGGACAGCAAGGTGTAGCGATTGGGTGCACATGATTTGTAGTTTTACAGTTCTGAGTTTGTGGACCTCTGCTCTGTAAGAAATTGGGTGACATTGGCAAGATTTTTATATCTCTGACTGATGTGTGGTAGACAAAATAATGGCTTCTCAAAGATGTGTACTTCTAGGCCAGGTGCAGTGGCTCACACCTGTAATCCCAGCACTTTGGGAGGCAGAGGTGCATGGATCAGTTGAGGTCAGGAGCTTGAGACCAAAGATGTCTACTTCTTAATTTCCAGAACCTGTGAATATGTTATCTTTAATGGTAAAAGGGACATTGAAGATGTGAATAAATTAAAGATATTATCCTGGGTCTAGGTAAACCCAATGTAATCACAAGGTCCTTATAGCAGAGAGGTAAAAAGGTCAAAGGCAAAAGGAGTTGGGACATAAGGAGAGGTAGGAGTGATAGGCTTTGGAGATGGAGGAAGAGCCATGAGCCAAAGAATGAGAAGACTTCTAGAAGCTGGAAAAGGTAAAGAAAAAGATTCTTCCATGAAGCCTCCTAAAGGAACACAGCCTTACTAACACCTTGTTTTTAGACTTTTGATCTCCAGAACTGTAAGAGTGTAATTCTGAAGTATTATAAGGGACTATGATTGTGGCAATCTGTTACAGAAGCAAAAGAAAATAAATACACTGTACTTTCTTGTCTGTTAAATTATTATCCACTAATACGACATTTAATACATTGCAAGTGCTCAATAAATGTTGTATATGATGATGGAGGCTATTTCTTTTAAAGGATGCTACACAACTATGGGATCCCATGAAGAGCAGTCAACTGGATTTAGTTAGAAGTATAGATAGATAAAACAAAAAATAGAACTTTTTCTTCAGTTGGAAGTTCTTCAGGGGGCTGTAGAACTTGGAAATGTGAAAAAGAAGAAAAATCCCTGCAGAATATTTAACTGCTAAGCCATAGTCATCAGTTTTGCAGAACCCATTAACAGAGTAGAATTTATATTGCATATTTGAAGGAGGGAATGAATGAATTTTTTTCTAAAAAGTACCATTAGGAATTACTGATGACAACTCGAGTGTAATTTCATAGATTCTGAAGTTAATTTTTACACAGGTTCTAAAATTATGAAATCTTGATTAAAATGGATCTGACACATTGCCTTAAAATAACAGTACATGATAAAATTAGAGACAAATTATACATACAAAATCCATTTTATCTTGAAATGGAAATTTTAAATAGCATAAACTGACAGCTTATTGCAGTGTGTATGGAAATAGATTAAGTTAAAATTGATTTCTCTTCTTACCATATTAGATTTTCCGTGTTTCCATAACATCAAATAACTCTAGGCCTAATGTTAATGTGGGTTATCAGAATCAGTAGGCGTCTTCTGCTGACTAAGTTTTATAACCGAACTTCCTTTTGTATCTACTGAGATCAGGTCCTACACCTGCAATATCTTACTGATTATCTTATTATTTATCTTACCATTCAGTAAGCCTTATAATGCCAAATATTAAATTAATCATCTTCACATACCAATTTTCCTGTCACAGGTTCCATTATTTGCTTCGTCATCCAAACTAAAAACAAAAAAGTCTTATTCTTCTTAGGTTCATCTTTCTCTGTCTTGCTGTATCTTGCTTGTTTTCAAGTACTATAGATTCCTTTTTGTGATAACTCCATTTCTCTTCCTCTCCAGGCCACCTGCTGATATACAAGCTTCGATTCTTACCATCGCAAAATTAGAATGCTAAAAAATACATACAGCATGTTGTAAGTTCCCATAGCTGCCAAATTCTAAAGTTATTTTCCTTCAATCCATCATCAAAACTTATGCCTTAATTATTGCTTCTATCATCTTACTCCACTACTGAAAAAATCTTCTGAAATACTCTAAAGCTCAGAAAGAAGTTCTAATTTATCACTGACCTCACAGTCCGATGTAATACCATCTCACTGGACAGAAAGGCAACCTCACTTTAGGGACCAATCCTGAAACATTTGACTCTAGTACCTTCTCACCTGAATTTTGTTTATCTACTTTTTCCTCTCATCCTCAGTTGACAAGTCATAAGGATAACATCTGTTTAACCCTGTTTCTATATGCACTGAAAATAAAGAGCTTACCTGATAATATCATAATGTAAGAGATCTTTTGGAAAGCGTATTTTATATGGTTTTATTTGGAAACAATTTCAAAGATACAGAAAAATGAGCAAAATTCTCACAAGGAACTCCTGCATCTCTTTAATAGACTAACCAATTATTGATATTTTACCAAATTTACTCTGTCATTCTTTATGTTTATTTTTTATTATTATTATTAATCCATTTGGGAGTATGTTGCTGCAGTATGCCTTTTTATTCCTAAATACTTCTGTGCATTTTTTTCCCTCAGAACAAGAACATTCACTAATATAATCATAGTTCAATTATTTAAATTATGTCAATTATTCTAATAATATTTTATAGCAATATTTTTATGGTCCAAAATCTAATCCAAGATCATGCACTGTACTTACTTTTTGTGTATCTTTTAGTCTTCTTTAATTTCACTGAATCCTCAGTGTCTTTTTGTTTTATGATATTGACATTTGTTTAAGGTACAGTTATATTATAAATGCCTCTGTGACATACAGAATAATTGCCTCACAAAGATGTCCCCCTACTAATCCATATGACTATGTTATATTACAAGGCATAAGTGACTTTGCAGATGTGATTAAATTTAGGATCCTGAAATGGGAAGATTATTTTGCATTACCCAGGTGGGGCCAATGTATTCCCAAAGGTAATTATAAGAGGAGGCAAAATGGTAGAGTTAGAGATTCATAGTTTTCAATTGGAAATAGACATGGGAGAGGGAGAAGGGGAAGGAGGGGTGGTTTCAAGATGCTACAGTACTGGCTTTGAAGATGGAGGAAGGGGTCATGAGTCAAGAAATACAAGCAACTCCTAGAAGATGGAAAAGGCAGAAAACACAGATTGCCCCTGATAGCCTTCAGAAGCGACATAGCTCTGCTGGTATCTTGATTTTAGCTCCATCAGGCCCACGTTAGACTTGTGATCTCCAAAGCTGTAAGATAAATTTGTATTGTTTTAACCACAAAGGATGTGGCGATTTGTTGCAACAGCAACTGGAACAAAGACTAATCAGTTTTTATTTGTCTGTTCTTTTTTTCTCACTAGATTCAGGTTATGCATTTTGGGGAAGGACACCCTAGAAGTGATTTTGTGTCCTTCTCAGTGTATTGAGTCAAGTGAGTCATGGTAAGGGTTTGTTTCGATATTGATGATGTTAACTGTTCATTTGGATAGTTGGTTCCCAATAAGTTTTTCAATATTTTAAAGTTACTGTTTTTTTCTCTTTGTAATTAATAACTAATTTATGAATAGATATTTTATGACCAAAAGAATATGCTGTCTCTCTTCAAAATTGGGCCCACCAATATTGCATCTACCAGTCATTCTTTCCTGAATTAAGTCACACTATGAATACTGTCAAATAATAATTTTCTATCATTAGTAATATATTTATTGGTTTGTATCCTACTCTAAGACAGAAGGTTTTTTGTGATCTATCTATTATCTATCTATAGATCTATCATTTTCAGTAGGACTAATATTTTTACTTTATTCATTGGGTTGTAATCCACTACTGTTATGTGCTCTAATGTTCACATTGTTCAGATTTGGCTAGTGGAAGCCCACTCAAGCTGGTTATATTGTGTCCCTTTGAAATGCCCTCATAGTTGTAAACATATTCTTATGTTTTGGCATAAAAATGATCTAGGTTTTTTTTTTTTTTTCTGCCTCAGCAAGGAAATTCGCTATTTTTCTATGGAGTTCTAGTTCCTTTTAGTGGAGAGTATTAATTATGTGTATTGCTACTGGATAGTCATTCCTCCTAGGGCTGCTCAACAGATAGACCTTGGAAACACACACACACACACACACACATACAATTCACACACATATCTATATCTTTTTTTTTTTTGAGACAGAGTCTCACTCTGTCGCCCAGGCAGGAGTTCAGTGGCACAATCTTGGCTCACGGCAACCTCCACCTTCTGAGTTCAAACAATTCTTCTGCCTCAGCCTCCTGAGTAGCTGGGACTACAGGTGCATGCCACCACACCCAGGTAATTTTTTGTATTTTTAGTAGAAGCGGGGTTTCACCATGTTGGCCAGGATGGTCTTGATCTCCTGACCTTGTCATCTGCCCGCCTCAGCCTCCCAAAGTGCTGGGATTACAGGCATTAGCCACCGTGCCCAGCCACACATATCTCTATCTTTACCTGTGTCTGTAAAAGTGTGAATGCATACTCCTGTGTCCATTTTCAATTTCAAACCTAGGGTTCTTCATAGCCTTCCTTCGTTCCATATTTGTATCTCCTATCACTGGTGGTAAGAGATCTGCCTCTTATCATCATCATGTATAGATTCCTTTGCTGAATTCCACAGTACATGGAAAGTAGATTATAAAATTAGTAACCAATACTTCTTTGAAATCAAATCTAATAGCTATAGTTCAGGAATTGTTTGCAATTACTTTTAACTTTTCACTTAGAATAAATATTCAAAGTATTGTGTTCAGTTCTTTCCCACCTGCCCCAACCTTTCAATGACGATAATTCCATTCATTTTGAAACACAGTTTGATTTCCTGGTTTCTGTTTGCATTCTCTTTTGGTTCAGCCTCTTCTTTGCACCTCAACTGCCTTAAATTGATCTTGACTGTTTCCCTTTTTGTAGAGTACGTAAAACAACAACATGGTGCTAAATGTTCAATTACTTGCTTGATGTCATAACCAGTCATTCAAATGGCAAACTAGGAAAAAATCTTTTAGTTCAGATCTAGAAATCTTCTTAACTGACTGTAAACTATATACATAGAGTTTATAGTTTACTCTAGCCACTCGTCTTTGTTTTGTTTCCATTAAATATTAATTAGTTTGGTTTGTGGGGCCCTGACTTAGGAGTATACTCCACCACTCTTTTCCTATTATTCTTCTGATAGTCATCATTGTATTCTCCATGATGTGCTGTATTCTCTCAAGGATCTTAACTGCATGTTTACAGCCATCAACATCTCACTCACTTATAATGACCAATAAATAAATAAATAAGAAAGAAAATGTCTTCAATGGACCTGATGCCATGACTTATGAATTTCACACAAAGACAAATCAGTCATGATGGGGACACAGAGTCATGCTAATGCCAAAGATTTGGTTAACCTCTTATAAATGAGAGGCTGACCAAAAAGGGACATTATTAAAAATAATAATGGGAGGCGATTATGCTGAGGTGACTCCAGTGCTTTGGGTTCCTTTGTGAGCAATCACAGCCCAACTCAATCTGAACATTAAAACAAGACTTAAGCTTAACCAATCAGAAACTACCACTCTAACCTCTAACTAAGGACTTCTCACTGTAGCCAATTGATATGGTTTGGCTGTGTCCCTACTCAAATCTCAACTTGAACTGTAGTTCTCATAAACCTCATGTGTTGTGGGAGAGACCCAGTGAAAGGTAATTGAATCATGGGGGTGATTACCTCCATGTTGCTCTTGTGATAGTGAGTGAGTTCTCACAACATCTGATGGTTTCATAAAGGGCTTTTACTCCCTTTGCTTGGCACTCCTCCTCCTGCTGCCATGTGAAGAAGGACGTGTTTGCTTCCCCTTCTGCCACAGTTATAAGTTTTCTGAGGCCTGCCCAACTATGTGGAAGTGTGATTCAATTAAACCTCTGTCCTTTATAAATTACCTAGCCTTGGGCAGTACTTTATAACAGCCTGAGAATGGACTAATACACCAATGAAGTGTATTTTTTGGCTTGCTTCCACAAACACCTTATAAAAATTTTTCCCTTGTGCCTCCTTAGTAGAGCACTGAACTGCTTGAAGTCTGTGCTAATATTAAAAAACCCTTAATATTTTATGGTAAAAACACCAAAATCTGTTAGAAAAATAGGCAAAAGACATGAACACACAACTTTTTAAATGGCATACAGTAGGCCCTTAAACATATATAAATGTATCAATAACTCTTCATTACTGGTATATATGGTTTGTTTTTCCCCTAGTTCATCATTTGTCTTTTGATGTTGCTTATCGTGTTTACTGTCATACAGAGTGTTTAATATAATTGATTTTAATTTACTCAGGTTTTCTGTTGCATTTTGATACTAAATCATTAGAAATCCTTTTCCTATACTCATGTTATAGAAGGATTCATCCATGTTTTCTTCTAGTATATTTAAGTTTCTATTATTTTTTATTTAATCTGTGATCTATTTGGAGTTTATTGTTCTTTGTGGTATAAACTATGAAACCAATTGCATTTCTGTCTAAATAACTATTATTTGTCCCAACAGTATTGATTTAAAAATTCATATTTGCCTCAGTTATTTGCGATACCACATTATCACATACTGAATTTTCTTGTATATTTAGGTTTATTGGTGGACTTTCTATTCTAATTTACTGATCTATTTGTATGCATATGTCAGTACCATGTGCTTGGTCTGCCCCTGCCCCTGCCTGGCAGACCATCTAATAATCTGCTTCTATTCCTATGTCAGAAACATACTTATACTATATTTTAAGATCACCATAGCTTTACATAACTTTACTTTCTAAGTGTATACTCATAAAGGGATATTAATAATAACAAAGCATTTAATAATCAATAATTCATGCTCATTTCTGTTTTTTCTTTTCTTTCTTTCTTTCTTTTTTTTTTTTTTTTTGAGACAAGGTCTCACTTTTTTGCCCTGGCTGGAGTGCAGTGGCACAATAATGGCTCACTGCGCTCTTGGGCTCAAGCAATCCTCTTGCCTTGGGTTGCCAGACTACTGGGATTGCAGGCATTAGCTACCATGCCTGACAAAGATTCATGCTCAATGTGCATTCTCCCACAAATAAAACCTCTTTTCCCGTTATTGCATGTTTTTACTTGTTATCCTTTCTTTGAGTGAATTCTCACCTATATTATCTTCTGTTTTTGTTTCCTCAAGTTGATGATCCTTTCTCCTGTAATGTCTCTTTTACCTTTTATTCATTCAAATCTTACTATAAGATAAAACTGAACTTATATCTTCATTATAAATACATTGGAATATCAAGCATTCACTATACTTTCTATAAGTTGATCTTTTCTGACTTTTATCATCTATAAAATACAATTTAATTGTTGATAGTATGTTGCTTAGTATTAATGACTATTACGAGCAATATACTATAATCTTTTTGAACAAAAATAGGATGAGCTTTTTGAAATGAGGGGCCATACAATAAATGCCCTCTATCATTGCCCCCAAGAGTTAAACTGTAAAAGTACTAAGTATATAATAGGTATTATAAACATATTCTTATAGACAAATCCTTAGCAAATAAGCTTCATTTTGCCTTATTTCTAGAATTAGGTGACATACGGAAAAATAAAATTTACTCAGAACAATAAGCAAATATATAGACAATCAATCTTTCAATTTTCTGGTCACAGATTGGCATTTATGCTTATTTTAAATAATAGATCATGGATAATAAGATGATAAGTCAGCAGAAAATCATTAAAGCATGAACAATAGATGATTTGTATAAGCTAGGTGTAAATGTCATCTAAAAACCAAATGATCTTTAATAACATTTGAACAATCAAATACCTCTTGTTCGTTTTACTGTAGTAGAGAGAAAATGTGAGACATTGCATATAGTTTGTTTCCCCCTCCAATTATTATTCTAAAATGTGGAGTTTTTAATTAACAGTAATTAGTAATTATTCTATGGAGAAAAACATTAATCAATACATTAAATTTGAGTAGTCTAAAGTATGGAATTGCATTTAATTAATGTAAATATGCTATTTAATACATAACTCAAATATGTCCTCTTTTTTATGCTTAAATATGAAAAGAGACAAATCAGAAGTAGAATTCTAAGAAAAATTTATTTCATTTTCTTTTCTTCTTTTTTTTATTAGGTTGGGGGGGGTTATGTTGGTGTCTATTGGAAACTCCAAATTATTATGCAAGTTATGCAAAATAACATTTCAATTTCAGGAACAGTTTGTTTTTGCATTTATGTTGTATTTTCTCACAAAAAAACCTCAGCCCCATGGAGACATTTTATTATTTCACAGAATGTTCTCAAAAAATTTGAAAGTGCTGTCCTACTATTCACAGGATATGCTATACTGGACTAGAAGGAAACACTTCATTTCAAGTGGATGATTTGGACCAGCACATTTTAATTTCCTTTCTCTAAAATTTTCATGGGAAATGACAAAATCTATAAGGTTATTCTTCAAAACATAATGCAGAAGGGATTGAATAAAGGAAAATATTGCCAAGTCTGTGGGATGATAAACTCAATGGAAAAGTCCACCTGGAAATAAGTTTAATAGAATTGTCAAAGATACCTCAAGTTAGAGTGCCAGACACTGGAACTGAAGGATGACCATTACAAAGAGAGGTAGGAGGGGTTTAGGTATGTGTCAGCTCCAAGACGGAAATATGAATGCGGAGTGAATTTCAGTACCAGAAGCCCTGCTGCAATCTATTCTCTCGATAGAGGCACAGAGAGCCCTGTGAAAGGGGTTACTACTGAGACAGGCTCTCCACAAGATCAGATATGCCCATTAGAGAGGAGAGTTTTGCCCCCAAACTAACTCCCAACTATCAAAATTAATCCCCACAGCAATGATGGTGCATTACATCAGCACACTGTTCCCTGAGGATTTTTTCTCCATACGTCAGTGCTTCACAGAAAAACACAGTTCCTGATTATCAATATGAGAATGCAGAAAATATAATCTTTCCTCTTCCCTCTTCATGTAAGACTAATTTTTTAAACTACACCCTTAAAAACTCTAAAAGGACTATCTTTATTATAATGAGGGTTCAAAAACACACTTCCTTCTGAAAGAATAAGCAAAGAGAAAGTTATTTGGCATATATATATATATAATATATATATATATATGTATATTCTAAAGAAGGCAGTTTATATGAAGATGAACAACCAAATACTAACCCCTTAAAGAAACCAAAAACTAAAAAATAGATTTCACAACTATGCAATATATCCAGTATCCCCTAAATCTGTCAAAAAATAAACAAATAAACAAAATAGAAAAGGAACACACTGATAAACAGGAGAAAGTTTCTAAAAATATCCCTTTTTATAATCTCAACGAGGTCAAAAGTGTCAATCCATTAAAAATTCTGATAGGAGGCCAGGTGAGGTGACTCAAGCCTGTAATCCTAGCACTTTGGGAGGCCGAGGTGGGCGGATCACGAGGTCAGGAGTTCAAGACCATCCTGACCAACATGGTGAAACCCTGTCTCTACTAAAAATACAAAAAAATTAGAAGGGCGTGGTGGTGGGCGCCTGTAGTCCCAGCTACTCGGGAGGCTGAGGCAGGAGAATGGCTTGAACCCAGGAGGTGGAGCTTGCAGTGAGCCAAGATGGTGCCACTGCACTCCAGCCTGGGGGACAGAGCCAGACTCCGTCTCAAAAAAATAAAAAACAAAACAAAACAAAAAAATTCTGATAGGAAATAATAATAAAGATTAAAATAGTTAAATTTTAAAAAATCACTTAATGTGGCTCATGCCTGTAATCCCAGCACTTTGGGAGGCTGAGATGGGCAGGTCACCTGAGGTCAGGAGTTCAAGACCAGACTGGCCAACATGCCGAAACCCCGTCTTTACTAAAAATACAAAAATTAGCAAGGCATGGTGGTGCATGCCTGTAATCCCAGCTACTCCGGAGGCTGAGGCAGGAGAATCTCTTGGACTTGGGAGGCGGAGTTTGCAGTGAGCCAAGATCCCACCACTGCACTCCAGCCTGGGTGACAGAGAGAGACTCCATCTCAAAAATAAATAAACAAATATTTAAAAATATTAAAATATTTAGTATTTTAATGGGAGCTATTAAGTAGCAGAAAAGAGTAAAATTGATTCAGTGAAGTAAAAGTTTATCTCAAGAAATCCGCTAAAAACTGAAACAGGCCAGTAAGATTTCTGATGATGAAAAGAAAAGGAAATGTGAAGATCACTCATCATTGACCTAATATATGTATAATATGAATGCAGAAGGTAAAGGGATCACATGAAGTAATGCCAACAATCAAATAGAAAGTAGAAACCTTTTGGATCAAAAGGGCCCACTAGGTCCTAAGGAAAGGCTTTGCTAATTTGAGTCAAAGCTGTCACCCTACTTTAAATAAGACTGTGATATTGTGATTTATAATAAGAAACATGTATTTGGTTTTTGTCCCATTTGTGGCCCAGAGCTCCTGAAACTCTTGGAATTTCCTAAGTGATAAAAGTGATAAAGATAAAAGGAGAATTGTTATGTTCTTCATAACAAGACCCTTTCAATTGACCTAAGTTTATGTTAATGAGGCCATTTATGGAAAGCCCCCAAAGATGGTTAGCTGGTTGAGAGGAGAAGCAACTATGTGATTAGGTGGTTGGAACCTTCATCCCCATTCCACACTCACCTCAGGGAGAGAAGAATGGCTAGAGATTGATTGAACCACCAATGGCCAATGGTGTAATTGATCATGCCTACTTAATGAAGCCTCCATATAAACCCCAAAGGATGAGCTTTAAGAGTTTCCAGGTTGGTGAAAACATGGAGGTCATGAAAGGATGGTGCACCTGAGAAAGCATGAAAGTTCTCTTCAAGATACCTATGCATCTCTCCTGGCTGGCTGTTCCTCAGTTGTACCCTTTTATAGTAAACTGGTAATCTAGTGAATAAATTGTTTTCCAGACCTCTGGGAGCCATACTTGCAAATTATTGTGCCTGGGGAGGGGTTTATGAGAACCTCCAATTTATAGGGGCCCCAGTCAATCAGAAGCACAGGTGACAACTTAGACTTGTGACTGACATTGGAAATAGAAGCCAGTCTTCTAAGACTGAGTTCTTAACCTGCCTGTGGGGTCTGTGCTAACTCTGGTTAGTTTTAGAATTTAATTAAACCATAGGACACCCAGTTGGTGTTTGCCAGAGGATTAAGTTGAATTTTTTAGAAAAAGCTCACACATTTGGTATCAGAAGTGAAGTAGTGAGAGTAATAGTTGATCAGAGAAGAAATAAGAAATTTTCCTTTCAGATACCAAAGCAAACAAGAAGGCCAGGATAATGTGCTGAAATGCTGATTTGTATTCTGTTTTCCATGTATTTTTTCCTTTCCTTTTTCACATTAATTTGTTTACCTTTGCCTCAGGCTGGTCTGTGTAGTGAGGCCTGAAGCAGAAATTATCTGGGAAAACCAAAACAAAATAAGCAAAGTATATCAAACAAATGAAAATGTATCTTGTTAGTTTGTTAAGAACATGCTTGATTGAGAAAATTATGTTCAAGGACCCCATAGAAGAAGGGAAGACAGGCAAGTGCTTATGAAGGGTGCATTGGGAAGTGAAATAAATAAAGAGGTAGTGGGAACTGTGTCATGATATATGTAGCTACTAAAATTAATGGAAGTGGAAAATTAGGAATCCGCATTAACATGAGCCAGAGGGGTAAAGTTAAAGCGAGAAGCCCATGCATTAAGAATGTAATTTATGAACAAAGAAAAAGTATTGGCATGCACATAATTTGACACACAATTGAAATTTTAAAACCCAAACCAAACGAACCTCACTTCTTTTAAGCCAAAAGCATACCATAAATTATTATAAATTGTAAATTTACTTAAGCAAATTCAATGCCTTTTTTTTTTGAGACGGAGTCTCACTCTGTCACCCAGGCTGGAGTGCACTGGCGTGATCTCGGCTCACGGCAACCCCTATCTCCTGCGTTCAAGCGATTCTCCTGCCTCAGCCCCCTGAGTAGCTCCTCAGTACAGGCGGGTGCCTCCATGCCCGGCTAATTTGTTGTATTTTTAGTAGAGACAGGGTTTTGCCATGTTGGCAAGGCTGGTCTTAAACTCCTGACCTTAGGTGATCCACCCACCTCGGCCTCCCAAAGTGCTGGAATTACAGGCGTGAGCCACTGCACCTGGCCTCAATGTCGTCGTCTTCTCCTTTTCCTTCTCCTTCTTCTTCATTTTTTCTTTTTTTTTTTCTTTTTTCTAGATACAGAGTCTCGCTCGATCACCCAGGCTGGAGTGGAGTGGCGCCATCTTGGCTCACTGCAAGCTCCGCCTCCCGCGTTCTCGCCATTTTCCTGCCTCAGTCTCCGGAGTAGCTGGGACTACAGGCGCCCGCCACCACGCCTGGCTAATTTTTTTGTTTTTTTAGTAGAAACGGGGTTTCACCGTGTTAGCCAGAATGGTCTCGATCTCCTGACCTCGTGATCCACCTCAGCTTCCCAAAGTGCTGGGATTACAGGCATGAGCCACCGAAACCGGATGATGCCTCCTTCTTAATTTCCAGTCTTGTTGGCTAATATCAGGCAAGTTTTTCTGCTGAAATTGTTCGCTGAAGTCACACATGCATCCCCTTAATGCATTTCATTTTATTTTCTTCCTAGAGAAAGAACAAAGTTTAACATTACAGCTGTGTCCTGTTTTTTAAGGTATTTCTTGTTCAATGATGAGTGAAACATTTTTCAATACCTTGTAGTTATAATTATTATACCCTTTTCCTAAGACTAACACTTGTTTAACTTGTCTGACTAGTTCAGAGTCCATAACAGCCTTCTATCTAACCAAGAGCTCTTCCACTGGCATTTTATAAAGTCTCTCTACTTCAAATCTAGATTTGTAACATTGTCTCAGCGGATTTTCCCAGCCCTCACCTTCTTTAGAAGTTATTTTTAGTTGCTAGTTGCAGAGCTTGCCTTAGCTCCTTTCGATTGGTTTTAATTTTTAATTTTTTGTATGCTTCTTTATTTAGCAGCCAACTTTGTCCTCTACAGTATAGCATACAGACCAGTTTCTGGTGGTACCGGATTCTCATTCTCACTCACAGTCATCACAGCTTCACCAGGGACCATATACATTGCACACTTCGTAGAAAGAAAATTCAAAGTACGGGTTCAGGCAATTATCTGAAAATGCATAGACATAAATGTTTCTGGACAGAGAGATATATTTTGACGTAAATAGCTTCTGGAGGAAGAGTTGATGGGAAGTGTGTCTTTCAATGTTTAATCACTTCTTGATGAATTCTACTATTTCTGCAGTCAGATAAACTTATCTATTTCTTTTCCATAGATGCAAACATGAAGTATTGGTAAACATCTATATTACAATGATCTATATATTACAATGATCCTTTAGACGTTTAAAGTACATTTTTATTCATGGTCAAATAATACCATCACAGATTGATCTTAATAATTAAACATATATTGAGGTTTTAGTATTAATGAAATGCTATACTGTTTTTCAAAAGATATTATGTTCAATTTTAACCACAATCCTAGAAATAATATATTATCCTTATATTACATTTGATACTTAAAATGGTTGGGGCATTTTTCCAAGATGGTGCTTACATCCTCTAAGAGGCACTCATCAGATGAAGAATTTAAAACTTCATCTTATGGCTCTAAAGACAGTATTCTTAACTACTTACTGTGTTTACCATACCCACTCGATAGAAAAAAAAAATGTAATCTTGAATTTATATTAAAGATTGCTTTGTTTAGTAGGCAAATCTCTTATTTTTTATATGTGATAATCAGCTTTAACATTTCTAAGTTTTTTTACATTTTCAATAGGGAAGAATTTTATGATACTGAATAAGTATCATTTAAAAAATTTTAAGAATATTTTGTTTTGTTCGTGTATTATGATATTTTTTCCAGAAAAAGAAAGACTGTAACATTAAAAGTACACTTCAATATTTAGCTGCAACCCTGTTTCAGAAATTTTAGAATGTAGAAGGCAGTGTTTACAGCAATATAATACTGTACATATAAAATCAAAATAAAAGAGTAATGATCAGGCTTATAACACATTTCTAAAATCCAGACACTGACAGACTCTCTCCTTCACCAAACTTTAGTCCTCTGAGCCCTCTTCTTAATGATGTCTCGAACTTGAATTCATTCTTGATAGGCCCGCATAGCTTAGTTGTAGTTAAGAATCTTGTTCCAAAAATAGAAGGAAATTCTCCCTAGCTAATGCCACGAGGCCAGTAACATCATTATATGAAAACTAGAAAAGGGCATGATAAAAAAAGAAATCTACAGATCAATATCACTGATAAACACAGATGCAACTATCCTCAACAAAATATGAGCAATCCAAATCCAACAGCATATCAAAAAGATAATACACCATAATTAAGTGGGCTTTATACTAGACATGTAAGGAGAGTTCCACATCTGCAAACCAAGAAATGTGATACATCATATAAACAGAATGAAAGACAAAACCATATAGTCACCTCAATAGATGCAGAAAAAGTATTTGATAGAATTCATCATCCCTTCATGATAAAAACTCTCAACAAACTTGGCATAGAAGGCGCAAATCTTAGAATAACTAAGGCCATATTCAACAAGCCCACAGCCAACACCATGCTGAATAGGGAAAAGTCAAGAGCATTCTTGGAAAGAAGTGGAACAAGACAAGGATGCTCACTTTCACCATTACAATTCAGCATAGTACTGGAAGTCCTAGCTAGAGCAATTAGGTAAGAAAAATACAAAAATAAAAGGGATCTAAATTGGAAAAGTGGAAGTCAAATTATTCCTGTTTGCTAATGACATGATTTTATATTTGAAAGAACCTAAAGACTCCACCAAATTCTTTTGAATTTGATAAATGAATTTAGTAAAATGGCAGGTAGCAAAATCAAAACCAGTAGTGTTTCTACACACCAATAATGATTTACAAGAAAAAAAAAACATCAAAAATTGGGCAAAGGATATGAATAAACACTTCTCAAACGAAGACATTTATGGAGCCAACAAACATGAAAAAAAGCTCCTCACTTGTCATTAGAGGAATGCAAATCAAAACCACAATGACATACCATCTCAGGCCAGTTAGAATGGCAATCATTAAAAAGTCAGGAAACAAAAGTTGCTGGAGAGGCGGTGGAGAAATAGGAATGCATTTACACTGTTGGGAGTGTAAATTTGTGCAACCATTGTGGAAGACAGTGTGGCAATTCCTCAAGGATCTAGAACTAGAAATACCATTTGACCCAGCAATTCCATTACTGGGTATATACCCAAAGGATTAGAAATCATTCTTCTATAAAGACACATGCACACGTATGTTTATTGCAGCACTGTTCACAATTGCAAAGACTTGGAATCAACCCAAATGCCCATCAATGATAGACTGAATAAAGAAAATGTGGCACATATACACCATGGAATACTATGCAGCTGTAAAAAAGGATGAGTTCATGTCCTTGGCAGCAACATGGGTGAAGCTGGAAACCATCATTCTCAGCAAACTAACAAAGGGACAGAAAACCAAACACCACATATTCTCACTCATAAGTGAGAGTTGCACAATGAGAACACACGCACACAGGGAGGGAAACATCACATACTGGCCTGTTGGGGAGTGGGGGGATAGGGGAGGGATAGCATTAGGAGGAATACCTAATGTAGATGACGGGTTCATGGGTGCAGCAAACCACTGTGGCACGTGTATACCTATGTAACAAACCTGCACAGTTTGCACATGTATCCCAGAACTTAAGGTATAATTTAAAAAGTGTTTTCTATATACACACACATATTTTAGATGCTAATGGTGCCATACAAAGATCATTAGACAATTTTTATGATGTTCCATTTAGAAAATATTAATATTTTTATAATTCTTGAACTGTCATTAATGAGCATTCAAATTATATGAACACAAAATGTTTTACCAATCCAAATCTTACCTCATACAAAGCAAAGATCTATTCAAAAATTATATTATGACTTACTCTATGTATAAGCCTATAAATCAAATTGGCATATTTTATTCATGTCTGTGTTTGTTACTATGGTACTCAAATATAATTGTATTATAAATACTAATAGGACTTATGAATACATACATCATATGTCTGCATATTTAGGTAATATGTCTCTATATTATATCACAATCAGATAAAGTCATATTTTCTTAGAATGAATTCTTTTATCATTTGCTTACTTTGTTTCAAGTTTAGGGATTCAATTACAATCAGTCTTTAAATGCATGGCTTTCCTTAGGGACCAACACTAAATTCCTATTAGGCAAAATTCTTTTTTTTTTGAGATGGAGTCTCACTCTGTCACCCAAGCTGGAGTGCAATGTCACGATCTCGGCTCACTGCAACCTCTGCTTCCTGGGTTCAAGCGATTCTCCTACCTCAGCCTCCCGAGTAGCTGGGATTACAGGCACCTGCCATCACGCCCGGCTAATTTTTGTATTTTTAGTAGAGATGGGGTTTCACCGTGTTAGCCAGGATGGTCTTGACCTCCTGACCTTGTGATCTGCCCACCTCGGCCTCCCAAAGTGCCGGGATTACAGGCATGAGCCACTGTACCCAACCCCCTATTAGGTAAAATTCTAATGACTAAATGCATCAAGAATTATATAATTATGTTTATATTTCAAAGTTTTTTGTGACATTATTGTTAGGTATTGAGAAGGAAATTTTCACCAAGATGCTCTGCAGTCTTCATAGCCAAATCTTATTAATCCACCATGATTAGTTCATAGATCTCATTTTAATCTGTTTCATACTCTTATGGTTTTAAAAGGACCAAATAGCAGCATTTTCTGATTTCACTTTACAACAGGGTCTATTCCCTTCAAGCCCTCTGTTGTTAATAAGCAATGAAATGACTGAGAAATGAACAATGGAAAGGCCAGAAATAAAGGTAACATATAATCTCAAAACTTGTTCTATCATTGATGGGCATTTGGGTTGGTTCCAAGTCTTTGCTATTATAAACAGTGCTTCAATAAACATACGTGTGCATGTGTCTTTATAGTAGAATGTTTTATAATCCTTTGGGTATATACCCGGTAATGGAATTGCTGGGTCAAATGGTATTTCTGGTTCTAGATCCTTGAGGAATCGCCACACTGTCTTCCACAGTAGTTGAACTAATTTACACTCCCACAAATGTGTAAAAGCGTCCCTATTTCTCCGTAGCCTTGCCAGCATCTATTGTTTCCTGACTTTAATAATCACCTTTCTGACTGGCATGAGATGGTATCTCACTGTGGTTTTGATTTGCATTTCTCTAATGACCAGTGACGATGAGCTTTTTTTCACGTTTGTTGCCACATAAATGTTTTGTTTTGAGAACCATCTGTTTATATCCTTCTCCCACTTTTTGATGGTGTTGTTTGTTTTTTTCTTGTAAATTTTGTTAAGTTCCTTGTAGATTACAGATATTTGACCTTTGTCAGATGGATAGATGGCAAACATTTTCTCCCATTCTGTAGGTTGCCTGTTCACTCTGATAATAGTTTCTTTTACACCATGGAATATCATGCTGCCATAAAAAATAATGAGATAATGTCCTTTGCAGGGACATAGATGAAGCTGGGAGCCATCATACTCAGCAAACTAACACAGGAATAGAAAACCAAACACCGCGTGTTCTCACTCATAAGTGGGAGTTGAACAATGAGAACACATGGACACAGGTAGGGGAACATCACACACCAGGGCCTGTCTGAGGGGGTGGGAGGCAAGGGACGGGAGAGCATTAGGACAAATACCTAATGTATGTGGGGTTTAAAACCTAGATGACAGGTTGATAGGTGTAGCGAACCACCGTGGCACATGTATACCTATGTAACAAAACTACACTTTCTGCACATGTATCCTGGAACTTAAAATAAAAAAATAAAAAACAAGCAACAAAGGAAGGTCTGATAATGATTAGCTTTCTAGAAACACCCGGATTTTTAGGGCAGAAACGTTAATAACTGTTAAAATAAAGGAGAAGCTATTATGAAAAAAATCTCAAAACTGGAAAACAAAGTTGACAAGATATCCCCAAAGCTATAACAGTGATGTATTTTTCCTTTCATAAGAGGAAAGCCTGCCTTCTTTGCAAAGCATTTAAAATGTATTTTACTTGATGGTGAAAGCAGAGATAATTTTGTAGAATTATATGTTTAGGGTTCAAAGGGACATTTCGGATAATCTGTGCCAATGTCTTGCCTACAAAGATAAGAAAATTCAGATTGAACATGGTTATGTTGCCCAAGGTAATTATTGGAGTCACTCAATGGACTGCTTCTTCTATTGATTTTTGGAACACGTGTCATTGACTGTTCCTTTACAGATGTCTTTATCATGTTGCTTCTCTCGTTACTTGTGTTTTTTCTTTCCTCTAAGTCTTCCTATTCATTCTCTCCACCAAATATATTAATGTCACATCATATACAAAAATAAATTTTGTAGAGTTTTGTAATCCTGTTTTTAAAATAGTACTTTTCTTGATATTATATAAATATGATAAATGTTGTTGTTAAAAGTGGGAAAATGGCAAAAAATCAAACATGTGAAGTATTTGCTATTGTGCATAGATTTATTATTTAGCTATGTTAAATATATCCCATCTCCACAATTAGACCAATGCTTATATTAGGAAGGAAACTTATATGTGAAACCAAAGTGCACCTTCGATTATGATTGATTATATAATTGATGAACACCTTGTAGGCATTCATACATTTTAGTGACTCATTAATTTATTAGAAAACTTTTTTACCTCTGAAAAATCTATGCTCCATTAATGTACATTTGAAAACACTACTTAAAACAACTATTTAACACAAAAATATATTTACCATTCTTTCTAGCTAAAATAAAAACAATGAAATCCTAAAATAAAAGGACAATGGAAAATTGAGCTGTAGCTAAATATTTAAATTATCTTAGACTCATGACTTGAAAAGTGTCTTAGAAATAATCTAGTTCAATATCCTACTTCTACTTCAATATTGCAATTAAGGTATTCCAATTCAGTGTTTAGCCTCTACATGACACTCAGCAGATTAAAATAAAAATCTGACTACCTTTTCATTATGTATTTTGCATTCATTGTAGATTTGCTGTCTGGAGAGATATATGAAATTTAAAGATGGCAATCCATTCCCTTCCCATCATGCTTCTTTTTCTACAGGTAAGCATTTTTCATTTCTCTAACTTTCCAACTCTTCTCCCATATCCTAATATTCCAAAGCTTTATCATTCTATTTATATATCTTTGCACACACTTTTTTTTTATTTCAATTTGATCCTTAAATTGCGAAGTTCAAACTAAGCATAATGCATTAGGTACATTCTTACTTAGAGCAATGTGTGGGCAGCACTGGATTTTTCTGGGCATGCGTTTGTCGCAAGGCAACTTAACTTCAAATTAACTCTTATTAGAGACATACACTTTTATGACTAATAGTCTTCTTATAATCACGCCATCTTCCAGTGTATACTTACATGATTTATTTACTTTTTAAATCTGAAAATAGAATATTATACTTTTTCTAAACACGATGAAATGAAAACAAGACATATGATTTATCCTAAAAGAATTGATGAGCCAGTAGGGGGCACACAGGAAACATCTAGGAAACACTACACTGTGAAATATTCACTTAAATGAATGAACCAAGTATATTGCAAAGGAGAATTAAATAGATACCTTAATAGAGACAAATAACATGGTATAGCAGAAAAAGGAAAAGAGTTTCATTTCCACATAAAATTTCAAGAAAGTTTTTATTGCATAATAAATTTTACTAAGTTTGGAAGGAAAAAATATAGAAGCATTGTATTGCATTATTGTTTTTGGTTTATTTGTTTTTCTCTCTTATTTGATCATGTTTATTTTATAGTAGAGACCTAACCTAATATTTAATGTCTTTAATACCAAATATAGTGCCTAGCCTAGTGCAGTTATCATATTCATGTTGAATTAATGAGTAAATGATGGATATTATTGGAAAAAGATACAAGGTTAGAAAAATGTTAGTAATAAAATGACATGGTAGATTCTTTGTTTACTGTAATTTTAATGCAGGTTTCATGAGGACCTTGGTTTTCAAAAAAGACCATCAAAAGGTCAGTTAATGTCAACATAATGGCAGTTGTGTTTGCCATGGTAAGAATGTTACTGTGTGGAGGTAGGAGATGATCTTAAAGACAGGTGTGACATGATAGGCATTGTCTTCTATGAATATGCTACTTAGTAAGGAAAAGGATACACTTGAAAATTTAAATAGAGTGGGAAGATGAGATCAGAAACTATTGTAATCATGAAGACAGAATGTAAAGGGTCAGAATTAGGGCAATATCACAAGACATTTGTAAAAAGTTTTATTAGATATAATTCACATCATAAAGATTCAGATTACAGATTTCCTGGATGACTTTTTAGTTGAAATGGTAGGAAAACAGAAGTTTAGAAATCTACCCTGTGTATCTGAGAAGACTAATGTGACTCAAGAAAGTCCTGATGTTCAATACCCTATTTAGTGTATTAAATGCAATGAATTTTTCTAAGTAATTCTTGTATTACATTTATATGTACTCAAAGGTAAGGTATTTCTTTTCCTGTGTTCCTGGTCATCAATTTATTTATTTATTAATTTAGGAAAACATTTATTTAGTCACTCATTTAAACTATATGTTTTAAACCGTTGTAGACTATAACACCACAATGGGGTACCAGACAGCTATATTCTACATAAAATTGTTTTCAAAGTTTCCTGATGTCAATTTATCTTCCAGAGAAACCCAGAAAAGGGGGAACTATTGAATTTCTATCCTGTTAACAATAACTTTCACTAGGTTTTTCTCAAATCCAATGCCTACAAATTGCCCAGACTCTCTTCTGAGCTATCCAACTATATCCCAAATCCCCAATAAAACAATAATTTGAATAAATATGCTATTGGATATAGTGTATATTTATAAACTATGATAGTATCAAACAGGCTTACAATTTTTGTTGCTTGTTAATGCAGTTTTTGAATTCTTTAACTTATATGATATAAAGAGAAGCGATTTCTGTAGAATTTCATTCTCCCGAAAATGTATCTTATGACACACTGAATGAAAAGCAATAAACACACTGTTAAGCAGAAAATTTCTGTCATTTATTTGTTTTCTCTTTTGTCTCAGAAGAAAGTCAAAATATTCGGTTGCTACATTAACAGCTTATTACAAGATCAGAGAGCAAAACAATCTAGAGATTTATTAGCACATACTAAAATCAGAGAAGTGTTTGTTTCATTTTGTGATTCAACCAAATGAAAGTCCATCATAGGTTTGGCACAAAATCTGCGCTTATAATGTTAGTATGCTCATAATAGTCAGTAAACACTGAGTAATAGAATAAGTCTAGTGACAAACTTTTACTGTTAGAGCCAAAGTGGAAAAATATCTTAGAAATTAATTTCAGTGAGTGTAATTTCTAGTAGCCTTTGCACATAAATTGAAAAAAAAGCTCTTGGATTGTCTGAAATCCTTCAGTTTTACATGTGACCATTAGAAACAACAGTAAAGTACATATTTCAGGTATATTACTAAACTAGCAAGAATGATAATCTTTCTACAGACATATTTATTATGAGGCATAAACCGAGGGCTCAGTGCACCTCAATGTGAGCTTACATAAATGGATCATACTACATCTAGTATTAAGAAACTTACTTTTTTTCATTTAATATTGTGGCTATAGCTCTGTTTTTATTTATCATAATGTATCACAGTTTATTGAACAGACTGTGTTTCCATATATTTCATTATAATCCATGATGTTGTGAATCTCTTTCTATACACATATATACACACACACAGAAGTTAAACTGCCAAAGCAAAATGTATGCATTTTTCATTTGCATAGACAATCCTAAGTCCCTTTCAAAAAAGATGGACAATTTCACACTCTCACCAAAACTGTGTGATGATATGCATTTTCTCACACACTATCAACAGTAGATATAATCAATATTTTTCCTTTTCTCCTATGATGATTGAAAAATGATATATGCCTCAAATTCTTCATGTTGATTCTTATATATTATAGCATTTTCACTGTTTAGTTGAACGTTTTCTTTTAATTACATATATTTTTTAATTTTTAATTTTAACTTTTGTGAATACATATTAAGTGTATACGTTTATGGGATACATGAGATGTTTTGATACAGGTGTACAATGTGTAATAATCACATGATGTGCAATGAGGTGCCCATCCCCTCAAGCATTTATCCTTTGTGTTACAAGCAATCCAGTTATAATCTTCTAGTTATTTTTAAATGTACAATTAAGTTATTATTGGCTGTATTGCCCCTGTTGTGCTATCAAATACTAGGTGTTGTTCATTGTGCCTGTTATTTTGTACCTATTAACCATCTCCACTTCCTCCCCACCCACCCGACTACCTTTCCCAGCCTCTGGTAACCCTCCTTCTGCTCTTTATCTCTATAGGTTCAATTGCTTTGATTTTTAAATCCCACAAGTATGTGATGACATACGATGTTTGTCTTTCTGTGTCTGGTTTATTTCACTTTGTAGAAAGACGTCCAATTCCATTCGTGTTGTTGCAAATGACAGTATCTCATTCTTTTGTATGGCTGAATAGTACTCCATTGTTTATAAGTACCAAATTTTCTTTATTCATTTATCTATTGATGGGCACTGAGGTTGCTTCCAAAGTTTGGCTATTATGAACAGTGCTGCAACAAACATGGGAGTGCGGATATCTCTTTGATATACTAATTTCCTTCCATTTGGGTATATACCTAGGAGTAGGATTGCTGGAGCATATGGTAGCTCCATTTTTAGTTTTCTGAGGGACCTTCTAATTATATTTTTTAATTGAAATTTGGCCAATATATGGGAAAATTGGTCATTTCTTATCTTATATCAAGCCATATTAGCTCATACTGGTTTAAATGTAGTTTTAAAGTGTTTGATGTTATTATATCATATTACTATTATTTTGTATAATGTTTAAGACAATGCACTTTTAGTGTGACATATCAGGACTCGAATCTCATTTTTAATGTTAGGCATATTCTGTATTCTTTTCTAGATCATATTAATAAAAAGTCTTGGCTTTATCTTTGAAGGCTTATTCAATTTCTTTTATACTTATTAGTCTAGCCAGGTTTTCTACTTCTAGATAAATTCTTATGCTTTACATATTGCTAGGAATTAATGTGCTATATCTAGATTTTTAAAATGTATTTATATATAATTGCTTTATGCCCACTAAATTCATTCATTTATTCATTCACATTCCTGGTAATATTTGATATTTATATCTTTACTAAATTTTCTAAATTATCTTTGCTAGCCCAAATAAGGTTGTATTTAAACTATTTTAGAGATCAAACCTATACTTTTATTTTAAATTCTATTAATTTTGGCTTATTATTTATTTTACCTGAGAACATCTTTGACTATATTTTATAAATTGGGTAAAATTCTATCTGCCTTTGATTTCTAAATTATGCTAGCTTATTTTAAAAAATTAATTATAAGTGAATTTATACGTGAACATACTTTTGGACTATCCTTTTGTTATTTTACTGTGGATTTATTGCATTTTGTTAAGTAATGTGCTATGTAGGATTTTTAAGTTTTTGAAACTCACTGGGATTTCTTGTGTTGCCCAATATATTTGTTAATCATATGCTATTTTTCTTTACTCATGTATTTAATACTTGGTTTGTTATTCTTTGTGAGAGGCTTTTTGAAGTCAATCAGAATTTATAAAAAATTTTAAATTTTCTCTTGTGCTTCTAATTTTTTTTGCTTTATAAATTTCATTGCTAAATTTTTTAATGTAAAATATGCTCATTATTTTTCTATCTCTTGGGTGGATTTAAACTTTTATTAACATAAAATACTTCTCTTTTTTATTTAAAGCATTTTCTTAAATTCTCTTTTCATTGATATATTAAACTATATTTAACATTCCTCTTTTTTATTCTTTCCTTCCCATAAATTACCCCCAGTATTGTTTTGTCTGTAATATTATTGTATAATTTTGATTAATTAAATGTACATTTTTAGAAATAGTTATTTAGATATAATTTTGTTTTTCTTTATTTGTCCCCAAAATGTGTCTTGTATTTCACAAGATCTTTTTGATTTTCTTTTCTGTTTTCATCAATTTATCATCTACTAATTTTACCAGAAATTTTTGGGATATAGTTCAAACTTCATATTGGACCACTAGTTTTTTCCTGGTTTAGGTTGTTAGGTTTAAAATAATTAAATAATTCCCTTGCAGACATTATATTTTAGCAGCTATTAAAATCTTTATGACAAAGATTTTCTGTTTTTTTTCTTTCTATTTATTTTTGGATTCTGACACTTGACAAAAATACATCTAAATTTGTCTCATTAAAATATACTGAGTACTTTTGGTTTTGTTTTTCTGTTTCATTTTTTTTTCTGATGAGAGACCTCTGAGCCTTTTCAATCTGAAAACTGCCTTCCTACAACTCAGGGAAATTTATTCAACTGTGTCTTTATCTTTCTCTATCCATTTTTTCTGTACTCTCATTTTATAAATTTCTTTTATATGGATCTTGAAACCTGTAGATACATCTCATCATTTTTCTTAATTTCTTTCTCATTCAATCACTTTGCCATTGGCTTAGCATTCAGGCAGAAAATCTCAGTCAGACATTCTGGTTTAAGCCAATCTTCAGCATGTTTATTTTGTTTCCCTTTAAAATAAATTGTTTTAATTTCTTTAAAGAAGGAAACCTTTCCTTTCTGTCAGATGTTCATTTCTGTTGAGGCTATTGAACATGTAGTTTCTTTAAACTCAGCTACTTTCATGTGGCCCATTTGTAGGGCTTCCTCTTTACGTGAAACCTTTACTTTTCTGAAATGTGTGTTCATTCAATGTTTTTTCTTCCCGAATATATTTGATTATTGATATTTCCTTGTTATTGAACCTGTGTTCTTGTTATGGCTAAAAACTCTGAGTGATTATAAATAAGGGAGAGTGTTTATCTTCCCACTACAGGAGTTCTCTATCCAACTGGCTGGAGTTATGGTGGCACCTTGTCTGAAGTCTTACTTAGAGTCACTGCTTCAGTATGGGAGGCTGAGTCAGATGCATTTCTTTTCTTTGTGTTTCTGCCTCTGTAGTCCCTGTAGTGGTCTGGAGTTAGCTTTACTCCTGTAAATCTTCATCCTTAGTTGCTGAGTAGGATCTCTCTCTAAGCAGATACTTTACTCTGTTTAGAAAATGTTTGAGGGAGGTTGAGAGTCAAGACTGCCTATGCTGCCTAGCTTCTCAGAATAAAGATCTTAACTGTGGTAAAGATGGCCCTCAGTCCTTGCAGATACTCTTTTGCTCTGCATAATTCACTCTCATTTGAGAGTATTTCTACAGGCTTCCCTGATAAGGCTTTATTTGTAGTTTCCTCTGGTCTTTATTGTCAAGTAAACATACCATGCCTACCTCCTAATTTTCCAATAATTTCTTAAAATATAAAATCTGCTGCTGGGAAACTCTTGTTTTCCCTAAGATTATGAGTTTACACTTTAAAAACATGTAAAACCCACTGTATCATTTCAAGGACTTCTTGGATAATGCAAAGAAGAGGTAGACAATTCTGACCATTGGCTCTTAACTTAAAAAATAAATATTATTATATATGCATTCTCTAATTAATAATATGCTTTTCTTAAACCTCTTGTATTGTTATCTTCTATATTTTTATGTTTATCTTGATATATTTATCTCTTATTTAAACAACTATAACAGTAAATTGAAACCAATTTTATTTCATATTTTTTATTATATACTATGGTAAGGATTTGGGGGACCTTGAATGTAAGATAATAATAGTATAATATAAATAACAATTAACCTTAGATTCAAGTAGAACTATTTTAAGTTCTGGTTTTGACAGCTATTAGCTCTGTGACCTTGAAGTATTTGTTTAATGCCCCTAAACCTCTGTGGCTCCAGATGCAGACTAAGAATAATAATAAGGAATCTATTGAGTTATTGGGTTGTGTTGTCTGAAGTCTTACTTAGAGTCACGGCTTCAGTATGGGAGGCTGAGTCAGAGGTGTTTCTTTTCTTTGTGTTTCTGCTTTAGTCCTTACAGCAGTATGGCATTAGCTCTGAGGATTAAATAGGATAATGCATGTGAAGCATGTCAAACACTGTTTGACAACTGGCAAATAGTCGAAAAATGCAAGCTTATCATTATTAACCTTAGTAATGATGTAATAAATACTTATTAAATTGAAAATACTTTAAAATAATGCTTTTTGTATTCTAACTTCAAAAATGTTTTAGATACATTGATGAGTATAAGCATTTCCAAGTCATAACAAAGATATAATTGAGATGAGATATCATATGTTTTTAGTGGGCCTGGTCTAAATTGTATTTTGTTGCTTCAGAATAACTCTCTGCAGCATGAGAAGTGGAAGAAGGGGTATAGTTTTGGTAATGTTAGTTTAGAGTGGCAGTAGTTTATGCTGGAACCAGAATACGTTTGTCAGGACATTCCAGAAGTTTCTGAACATGGGTGTCTAGATTGGACAAGGAGTCATATAGAGCCAATAGGACTGAATTAGAAAAGAGACGAGATCAGAAGTCCTACTGTCAGTATTATTATTCTTTTCTATATTTCTGTTACTTTAAAGAAATTTTGTGAAGAAGAGATAATAATTTCTCAAATTCTACAGGATTGATACAGGAAGATAGTTATATAGATATAGATAGATGGATGGATAGATAGATAGATATCCAAATGCAAAACTAGCATCTCCTAGAATTTTGTATGGCTATATAACAAAAACTACTCTGTTTTTAGAAAACAGCATCAGAGTAATATAGCTATTGGTTTTAGATTTGAATCTTCTTTGTGTACTAAACTCTTTGATGTCTGGGTTTCAACCATATTTTCTACAAGTCGGGAATGGTGCTATCTCATAGAGATGTTGTTAAGTGAATTAAATACAAGTTCTCAAAGCATCACACACTTTTTAAAGCTGAAGTTTGCCTATGTTCTTAAAAGTCTCCATGAAGTTGGGCACCTTTGATGCTGAAGTTACCGTTCTGGTTCTTCCTCTGCTCCCCATTCAGCCTCCACTGTATTTTCTCAGGCTCTCTCACCTCCCGCTGAGACAACTGGGCAGACCTGATGATGATCCTCGATCTTTATTCTTATTTCTTCCTCAAATTGCTGCCAGAATTATCTTTCTGAAATGGAGCTGGTAATTTAAATAGTAACGTGTATCCCAAATCCTCCTTTTAGTTTTATCTCCCACCACCATGCATTCTCCATGTGAGCTGCACTGGATTTTAAAGCATTTATGTGAATGCTCCAGGTAGTTTCACCATGTCCGTGTTTTTTATGCAATATATTCTCTTGGAATTAGCTATTTTTCCTTCTTAGTTTGACAGAAGTCTATTTATCCTTATGGATGTTCTGATATTCCTTTACTCTCAGTTTGTGGAAGGTATTTGCACACAGGGCTACAGCCTATTCCACTGGTTCTCTCTTGTTTGTTGCACTGCATATTTACACTTTCAGGGCAGACATTTTATCACTTGAGTTTTGCATTTCACATGCTTAGTACAAAACTTAGTTTAACATATGGGGTTTTGAATGACTTGAATTGAATAGTTCTAGAAATCAGAGAACTCTTTTTGAATTGTATTGAAAAGCATTTTCTTGTTAATTGTGAAATTCATAATAATTCCCCTTCTCTGTATATTGTGGTTGAAGTTTATCTGGTTGCATTTGCCTTAGAGATGAACAATATATATTAATGTTATTCCAAATTTAGTGGAAAATATGCCCACGTTCATATTTAACACTAGCATTCTTCATATCTCAGTGACACCTTTATTCTTTCTTATATGGTATATCGGTTCTAAAACAAAGTGTGAATAATAACATTTGGGAAGTCACATTCTGGTTCTTTATTAGGAAAGAGTGCTAAACTGGTGAGAATAGGAAGGCTTTTGTTTGTAGCTGCTATCTTTCACAATGCAATTATCTAACATCAATCACTTGGCTAATAGGATGGTAACTTTCAATCATTAACTTTCCTTGAAAGGAAATGACTTCATAAGAACTGCAGAGATAATTAGAAGCAAGAAGTCTACTTAGATATTAGAGAAAGGACAAATTTGAAGAATTTCAGAATGTTTGTTAAATTCTCCTTTAGATTCACACAGCCTATTCATTGTTCTTAACAATAATTCTTTTTAAGGACATCAGCATATTGGTAAAGTTATACAATAACTTTTGGAGGTTATTGCAATGCACCTCTTTATTTGTGTAATAGTTTGTGTGTGTGTGTGAGTGTGTTTTGCACCTAAGTGGCTAAACAGAGGTTTCAAAACATGTTTTTCTATGGAAGAAGGAAATGATGAAAAACTAAATGAAGCAAAACAGATATATTTGCCTGGCTTTTTGAAACGCAGACAGCAGAATGTCTTTTCTCCCTTTCCCTTCCTGTCTTTCTTGTCACCAGGATATAGTGCAGTGCTGTGATCATAACTCACTGCAGCATCAAACTCCTGGGCTCGAGCAATCCTCTGGCCTCAGCCTCCTCAGTAGGTGAGACTTCAGAGCCCAGCTCTGTACATGTGTGCCATCATGCCCAGCTATGAATTTCACTATCAATTACTATGTTATCATAAACCGAACCCACTAAGCTTAGGCTATAAACCCAACACATTAAAAGATATAAACTGTGAATTTATGCCTCTTCACTCTGTGAGAAGACAAAATTCTAAATTGAAATGTTAAGACAATTAACATTTACAATGTTCTAAGGAAATTATCACCTTTTTTTATAACATGAAAGACAGTACAATCATTATGAAGACAAAAGTACCAAGTTAAATAAAAAATAATAGATAAATAAAAAGATACAGTATCTTGGAAATGGACTTACTGCCTCTATAAGACTCTTTTCAAATCTATGTTCTATCATGTACTAACCATATAGACTGGACAAGGTATTTATTCTCCTAGGGTGATAGTTTCCTATTGTGTAAAGAGATGCTAAGTTTTTGGATCTAATATGTTTGGTTGTAGTGAGGGTTAATTAATTAGCATCATGTCCTGCACATTGTAAATACTCAATAAATCATTACTATTTGGAAGAAATGGCATTTTACAACATGCTTAGCATTGCAATTGATGATTTCTTGTGTTTCCACTGAAACTTAAGAAGACATACCAGATTAATTCCATCAGAAACATATCTATAAAATATGACACATATGTAAAATGAGATACATATATCATATATAAAATAAGACTATTCATTACAATATTGGACGAATTGCACTTGAGAACAAAAAAGCATATTCTGAATAAAGAAGATTTATAAGTATGCCACGTATGCCTAAATTATTTTATTTTAAAAATGGAAACAGTTTATTTCCTCTGATTATAAAAGCAATAAAATTATGATGTAAAATATTAATTAGGCAGTATATAAAGATATAAAGTAGTAACTTTTATTCATACAGTTCAGATATTTCCACTGTCTCCATTTATTGAATGACCACTGTAGGCTAGATGTTTTTCTATGAATATGCAAGTACATGTCTTTAATGCAAGATTATTTTTATTCATAGTTTTATACATTTTATTTTAATATGTCATGAATTTCTAAATAATAATTTATATAATGATGTAAATATTTCAATTTTGTCACCATCAAGATCAAGTATATTACCAAGTTCACAGAAAGTGTTCAATAAATATGCATTAAGTGAATGAATGCCTGAATGTTTGAGCCATCACACTCTTCCTTGGCAGTGAACATAGATCTACAGTATTTTAATGAAAAAAATAAATAAATTATATGGATACACATTGATTAACTGATCTACTCTTGAGGAACATTTACATTGTTTCGACATTTTTTCTACTTTGAGTAACATGACAATGCAGTACATTAATTTACTTACACTTCACTTGGCCAATACCAGAAATTGAGATTCAGAAAGCTGGTGCACCAACTGGCAGCCACAGTGTTCCATCACTTTAACTGCAATCTTAAATCTAAAGATCAAGCACTAAACACCAGAACTGTTGGCTCTGGAGTCACCACACATTTGCTTGACAAGGGGCTACCTTGCCTCTTGTATCTCTTTTCTTCTCTTCTTTCTTCTCTTCTCCTCTCCTCTTTCCTTCCCTTCTTCTTTTACTCCTCTCTTCACCTTATTTCTCTTCCTCTTCCTTGTTTCTTCCTCATTCCCCTTCCATGCCTTTCATCTTTCTTCTCTCTATCTTATTTCAATTCACTTTCCAATTCAGATCTACATGAAGAAATCGGATGAAAGAAATCTAAATCACACATAGGTCCCTAGCTTCAATGAACTCAAATAGCATGTTTCTTTGCTTTCTATCTCTGCAGTAAAGGAAGGTCCAATAAAAAGGAGGTTGGGATGGATGATGGATAATCTATAATGGTGAATATTCCACACCTTCTAGCTCTGACTTTCCAGCCTTAAGTCTACAGTAAAAGTTTTGCTGTGGTTTATGAAAATTTCCGCAACATACTTCCAATAATTCTCTCTGGTCTCTTGAAAGGCAATTCCTGTTAGCATCTGATAGTTTCCTTTAATTTGGTTGAAACTGTATGGTATGTGTCAGTCACTCCAGGTTTTGAGGATGCCATTGAGGGTGTTTCCTCATACAATCATGAAATAATGGAAATTTATTTCTCTTCACCTGCTACATTTATTTCTTCAGGACACAGAAAGCCTGTTATTTTCAGATAACTTCCGTGCTATTCCTTTACAATCTATTTTAGGAAAGTGGTTACTCAGATACTTTTTACCAGAAATCACCAATTTAATTTAACAATTTGGTGACGCTAATTTTTTTTCTGTGTTTGAATGTGAGTTTTGCCAACTATAAAAACAAATGTTCAGCTTCTAAATTAGGGACTTGTAGAGAAATGTGTAGATCAGAACCAACAATAAGTCCATATTTAAGTGGACTAAATGGCTTTTAAATTGAGACTTTTAGATCAAGATTTCTCAGCCTCAGCATCATTGACATCTCAAACTGGAAATTTCTTTGCTGTGAGGAGTAGTACCTTGTGCAATGCAGGATGTTTAGCAGCATCCGTTGCTTTTACCCAGTACATACAAGTAGCACCCCCAATTGGAACCAAAATGTCTCCAGACATATCCAAATGTTCCCTGGGAGCCATAATTGCCTTTGATGAGAATTACCACCTTAGATGTTACTTTTAGTGTTACCATTAGGCAACTAAGTAGCACATTTGCAAAGTGGTAATTTCTGGAGTTTTACAGAATTAATACAATATTCAAACAAAAACAATCATGGCTGAGCCTGGTGGCTCACACCTGTAATCACACTTTGGGAAGCTGAAGCATGTGGATCACTTAGGTCAGAAGTTTGAGACTGGCCTGGCCAACATGGCAAAATTCCGTCTTCACTAAAATTACAAAAATTAGCCAGGCCTGATGGCGCACGTCTGTAATGCTAGCTACTTGGGAGGCTGAGGCATGATAACCACTTGAACCTGGGAGATGGAAGTGGCAATGAGCTGAGATTGCACCACTGCACTCCAGCCTCCAGGCTCCAGCCTGGGTAACAGAGTAAGACTATGTCAAAAAAAAAATTATAAAAACTGTGGCTCAACTTTCTATTTGGGAAGATATTATAACCCAAAGGAGTGGATAGAGTAAAAAATACTTACATATGCTTGGATGCACTTGATTCCTCTTCCCTTTGCTTCATGAATGTTAATCCTGTTCCTGATTTGAGAAAGTAAATGAGTGTTTAAAGGAAGCCTCACTACTTAACAAAAATGCATGGTATATGCATGCTAACTTTATTTTTGGGTGGAATACATGACTGCCAGTTGTGCTGTACAAAGGCAATCATATTTTTATTTATCATGTACCTGGTCAATGAGTTCAAGTACAGATATCCATTTTCACGAACAAAAATCCGCTTAGGTAACATTGTTTTTTATAAATTCAATGTCCTTTAAAAGATGATACAAAGAGAAATGAACTACACTATGAAATAAGGATCAGAGATGCATTTATAGGAGAAGACATGTATATGCTTAAAATGTTCATCTGTTCACTTATTAAACTGGAATTGAGTGCCCTGGAAATAGAGACGGGATTCCAAATTCTATATATTCCAGGCATATTTCAAAATAGTATGAAATGTAATAGTTTTTTATTTGTTTTGGTTATATTTTATTATAAAATTTAGCCTAACTTATCAATGGTAAAATGCAAAGTAAATACTCTTAACTTATTAGTTCTGAGAATTGAAAAAAATTAGAAATTATGGAACTTATTTTCTATAAGTAATTATCATATAAATTATATTTAGAAAAATTGCATTGTTTTTTCTTAAAAATTATAAAAATTTGAAAGTTGAAATGATTGTTTATTAAACGTAATAAGATGATATGCCATTTTGGTAAATATAATGGCAATTTCTGTTTAGGTTTAATTATGGACTTAAGTGGGAAGACTTCTTGATGCATGATTTTTGTCAGGAGTTTGGACATTTTTGTAGAATCTTAAGAATTTATCCACTTATAAAAATAGTTTTGAAAGAATAAAACTGTATTTAGATTGCCTTTTCTAAAACACAAGTTGTTATTAACAATTTATTTAGTAGAAAATTCTCAAAAGAAAAATTATGAGAAAATAAATGCACAAGATAAAAATAATTTTAGAAAGATAAAAAGGGTCTACAAACCCTCTAAATTTAGCACATTTTTCATTCATCTTTACTAAGGCAAATACCTACATATATTTACATTCATAATTAGCTTAGAAAAAAATAGGATATTGCTCAAATATTTATGTGTCATAATATCTGACCTTAAATTTATACAGACACATACAAAAGAATGCATGTAAAAGTTTTTGATTCAAATGTCTGTATAAGTTTTCAATTCAATTCAAATGTAACACACTCAAGAATGTGGTATAATTGGTGTTAGTTTTAAGAGCCTCACAGAATTTTATGTTTCCCATTACTCCTAGCAATATTGTTTCATAATTATTTCATGGAATTTGCTTTAAATTTGAGTTCAAGCCATTTTCAGACCATAAAAATAAATGGAACATGCCAATGCAATAAAAATCATTTCCTAACAAAAGCTGAAATTATTCATTTTTATTTTGTATGAAACTTTTAGTATAATGACTTTTCTCTGACATCTGATTAAACACTAAAGTATGCTCTGCTTCTCTGAAATAATGGACTGGAATGAATAAATCTGTCTACCAGCAACCTCATTTCACAACAAGTTTTATTGTCTACCTTTAACTGGAAAGAGATATTTCCTTTCTCATGTAAACTTTATCCTATAATGGCTGATTTATAACTTTTAGCCGTTTCATTCTGTCCTTTTAAATGTGTGCAAATAATACTTTAAAGAACTGAGCACTTATTTAAATGCAAAGGAAAAATCTTAATGTATAATTTTATGTTTGTATATTTGCAGAAGAGCTAAAAGAAAAATATCCTATTTGTGTACATGCATAATTGTTACCTCTCCTTATAGCCAAGCTGATAATAACATCTAGATCTTTTATGCAATATTCATATTTGCTAGCCTGCCCGCCTTCCTGCTTCCTTCCTTCCTTTCTGTTTCCTTCTTTCTCTTCCATTTTCTTTCTTTCTTTTTTCTTTTCTTTTCCTTTCTTTCTCTTTTCTTTTACTTTTTCTTTTCTTTCTTTCTTTTTTCTTTTCTTCCTTTTCTTCTTTCTTTCTTTCCTTCTTTCTTTTTTCTTTCTTTCTTTCTCTTTATCCCTTTCTCTCTTTCTTTCTCTTTCTCTCTCTTTCTTTTTATCTTTCTTTCTTCAAATGTTTATTGACCTGGGACTCTACTTCAGTGTGGGGGCACAGTGGTGAATAAGACCAGAGAATCCTTGTTTTAATGGAGCTAATATTTTAGTGTAAAGAGGCAGCTGACAAAAGTTAGTATGCTAAATAAATTATTTTAATTATAACTGCCTGTAGAAAATAAAAGAGGTAAATGGACTGGAGAGTGAATGTGCAGGAATAAAGTATCTTATTTTCAAAAATAAAAAAGTAACAAAACTTCTCTAACATAAAAAAGTAAATGAATTAAAGATACAGATAAACAAAGCATAGTTAAGAAATTAGAAGTATTAGACACATAGTATGAGGAACATAGACTGTCAGTCCATTTTAAATCTAGTTTGCTATGTGAAAAATGCAGTTTTAAATATTTCAGATTTAAAGCACATGACTAAGAAAAATAAATTGTATATGTAAAGGCAGATTAAGATGAAAATCAGTAAAGCTATAGGGCTGAGAGATGCTGCCATATTGTACTAACTGTATATTGATTGTATAATCATCCTTGTAGAGATTGTGCTTTTATGAGGCGAGAGTAAAAATGAATTGAGGAAAAATTCTGCAAGATAAAATTTCCATCCTCAAAATATGTTTTACTTGCATCTAGCTATTTCCTATCCTAGAATTATCTCCCCTATCCCATCACCACCTGACTCACCTATGTCTTTTCCCAATTTACTCCCAAACTCATCATGGCTTAAATAAAACTGCCAGGAAAATGTTTTCTGATTATCCAGACTACTAATAGGTCAGGGCTTCCATTCTCCTCTCATAGTGTTTCATGCTTCTGTTTGTATCTTTATTTGCATGACTCTATCTACTCCCTGCTCAATACTGAGCAGTTGAAGTATACCCGAGTGACCTTGAGCTAGCGGTATTTCTCCTTAAACTAATTTCAACAATTAAAAAACATAAAAAATTTTAAAACTTTCCTAATAACATTCTCATACAGTAAAGTGTCCTAGAATTATTCAGTTCCTCTGAAAAATCCTCTCTAATCAACTCAGCTTCTCCTTCCTGGCAATTGCTAAATCTGTCTCTTGGTCTCAGTTGGTCTTAAAATATCCCATTGAGATTTCACCATCCCCCCTACTCTTTGTGTTAAAACAATAAGGATATTAATTAACAAGAAGTCCAAATGTAGAGTATCTTCCAAGTTGGTGCTGTCTTTATTTTCCACTGTCCTCACCTTATTGGCATTTCCCTTGGGCTTTGATGCCTATAGTTACAAGAAACTGGCTACACAGACAAGCAAGACAATGCTTTTCTCCTCTTAGGTGTCCCATTTAACAGCAATGAAACCTTTCCTAGGAGTCCTCTCACATATGACCCCTCACGTTGCCCAGAATCACACAAACTCTGGTGATCTAACCAGTCACTCGCAAGAGCAATGAGATTACCATAACTAGTTGAGGTCAGTGGTTCACAAAGAGTGATCCCTTGTCAGCGACAGCATGATCTGGAACTTGTTAAAAGTGCAGATTCTCAGGTCTGACTCAATCTGGTGGTGGGACTGTGCAGTCTAGTTTTTTGTTTTAACACATCTTCCAGATGATTCCTATGTAAGATAAAGTTTGAGAAATGACAGTTTAGAATAATTAGGATTTATACTTGAGTTGGGGATGAATTCACCTTATTCGAAGTTATATGGATACTTCAAAAAATCATGATTTATTTGAAAAGAAGTGTGCAATGGCTTTGCAATATTGTGGATGTTGTTCAAATTATCAGAAGCTGCAAAGAACGTTCCACATCGACAAACTCCTCCCTCTGTGACCAAGGTCTCTATATAAACAGTGCCAACTTTGTCTCTAATATAACAGTGCCTAAACTATAAGCCTTCTAAGGGCAGGAATCTGGCTCACCTCTCTATCTGAGCCCCTAAGTGGCCCTGTAACTAACAGTAGGTAGTCTAACCTTTTTTGAATTAATGGCAGTTTTTCTCTACAAATGCTTAAATGTCCCATTTTGGTGCTAAGAGATATGGGGGGTGATTTCAGAAGCAGGAGAGTTTGAAAATGCATACTGACTCTTGTCCATTATTTGGAGCTGTGGCACATATCTAAATCTTTTGAAGACTGAGTGTTTCTCCCAAAAAAAGGGCTCTTCCTTTGAAACTAAACCTCCTTAACACAACTGGTCTTCAACATATTCTTTCTCCTTTTTTTGCCAGTAGAAATGAATATGCCTCACAATAATTCAGTTTGGAACCTGAAAATCTAAGTCTCTAATTCAAGTGCAGGTTACACAGATAGTGGAAGACAGTACCCTTGATTAAATCCCGGCTCCATCACTTCTTATAGTGTGACTTAGAGGAAGTTACTTATTTTTCCCAGTGTATTTTTTTAATTGAGGGAAAACACACATAGCATAACCTTTACCATCTTATGCCATCTTAGCCATGTTTAAGTATACAATTTAGTTGTATTAAGTATAATTAAAATGTTGTACAGTCACGTTACCAACATCCATTTCTATAACTCTTTTAATCTTGTAAAACTGAAACTGTATTCCTATTAACAAAAACTTCCAAATTTCCCCTTCCACCTGCCACTGGTAACGACCGTTCTACTGTCTGTCTCTGTGAGTATGACTACTATAAGTACCTCATATAAGTGGAATCATAGTCTTTTGTGACTGGCTCATTTCACTTAGCATAGTGTCTTCAAGGTTCATTCATGCAGCATATGTCAAAATTTCCTTCTTTCATTAAGGCTCAATAATGCTTCAATTCATGTGTATACCATATTTTGCTTATTCATTCATCTACTGATGAACTCTTGGCTGGCTCCCATGTTTTAGCAATTGCAGATAATGCTGCTATGAACATGGGTATAAATATCATTTTGAGATCTTGATTTCAATTCTTTTGGGTATATACCCATAATTGGAATTGCTGGATCATATGATAATCCTATTTTTAATTTTTTGAGGAACCATCGTACTGTTTTCTACAGCAGATGCATGATTTTACATTTCCACCAGCAGTGCACAAGTGTTCTAATTTCTTTATATCCTCATCAACACTTGTTACTTTCTGTTTTATCAATCATAGCCATCCTAATGTGTGTGAGATGGTATCTCGTTATAGTTCCGATTTACATTTCCCTAATGATTAGTTGTGTGAGCATCTTTTCATGTGCTTATTGGCATTTGTATATCTTCTTTGAAAAAAAATGTTTATTTAGGTCTTTTTTTCATTTTTGAAACAGATTCTTGGTTAGATTGCTTTTCTTTTTCATAATCACTATTCCTCTTCTACTTTTCTCTATGTGTTTATCTCCCTCCTGTCTTCACAAATAGAAAAATTTAGCCTTTTGAAATAGTCAACTCCAAATATTACCCTAACCTGGCAGCAAACTGATATGGTTTGACTCTGTGTCCCCACCCAAATCTCATCTTGTATCTCCCATAATTCCCCCCTGTTGTGGGAGGGACCTGGTGGGAGATGATTTAATCAGGGGGGTGGATCTTTCCCATGCTGTTCTCATGATAATGAATGGGTCTCACAAGACCTGATGGTTTTAAAAATGGGAGTTCCTCTGGTCAAGCTCTCTTTGCCTGTTGCCATCCACGTAAGATGTGTCTTGTTCCTCCTTGCCTTCTGCCATGATTGTGAGGAGTCCCTAACCGTGAGGAATTATAAGTCCAATTAAAACTTTTTTTTAATAAATTGCCCAGTCTTGCATTTGTCTTTATTAGCAGCATGAAAACAGAATAATACACAAATGTACAGCTGTCAGGTTAGGGTAATATTCCCCATCATTTTGTCCCCATTACCCAGCATGGTGGCAGGCCCAACAGAGCTATAAATGTCAACTTACTATTCATGAATAAGGAAAAAAGGAAGTCAATTGAAATTCAAGAGACCAGCTTTATAGGAAGAACCTCACCTTTTGCTTTTGCTGCTTATTTTTCTTTTGCACCAGAACATCTAAGAACAAAAATTTAATGGGCACTGTAGCAGGAGGGAATGGCAGTTGTGAAGTCTCTACTAGAGATTCAGACTTTCTTTTGTCACAGGTACAGAGCCAAGGCCACTTTGAACAATAGTTATTATTAATCCTGAATCCAAGGCCTTTAAATTTTCTACAAATATATTTGAAACTTGACCAACTGATCAGTAGGATTGATTCCAAAATAATTGAAGAGAAAAGCTGCTCCAGTAATCAGTGTATTGCCTCTCAGCACCACATTCACACTTCAGTACTTTCTCTGCAATGATGTATGGGATTCTGTCAAGTATTTCCCATTTACAGTGAACATGTGTGTTGTTAACCTTTCAACACTGCAGGGAGAGGGGACTTCTCTTTTGGATTCAGATTGCAGCATTGCTGGTCAGCAATGCGGGTGTGAGGACATTGGGTTGTACTTTGTTCCAGTAACACATCTGGAAGACAAGTCCCCCCAGCAACAAACTTGCATCTCCAGTGGGCCTGTTGATCACCTTCCTGTGGTCTTCCCTTTGTGTAGTACCCTGTCCTCTGGCAGGTTTGTTTTCTGCCTTCCCAGTGACGGTGCAGCGGCTCTAACCCTGGCAGCTATACAGTGGGCAACCGCTCCTTCCCAATGAAGACGCCTGAATTCCAACTTTGAAAAAGGGTCTCCCCTTTCTGGTTTGGTCTTTCTTGGGTACTCTTCTTCAGTCCTAGGATTGGATTTTTCCAGATATGCACAATTGCCAAGAAATCACAGTCAACTAAAAACTGAATGAATTTCTTGTATCTAATGAATTTCAAAAACCAAATCACCAAGACCTTTGAAATGTGTGTAGAAAATATATAGTTAAAAGATATTTAATTTTTAGTATTTTGCTATGGTCTGCAGGTCTCCAAAATAAAAATACCAAAGGCTTACCAAAATATTAAACCTAACCTAGCGAAAACTAAAACTGATCAGAGTTAAATGATGAAACCATGTTACAATGATTTTTTTCTTTTTTTTTTCAAATGTTAAAGACTTTAATTTCAAAGGAACTATGTGGAAAGCTATGGAATTTTCAGTATTAAGATGATGCAGACTGTACTTAAAAATTAAAATTAGTCAAATTTAATAGTAGTGATTGAAAACTATTTCAATGTTAATACCTTATATCTTTCTCCACATATATTCTCCATAATATCCAAATTTATATTTTATAACATTTGGATTAAAACTACTAGGTTAAATTTTACAACACAAATTTTGAAATTGCTGATATTGTAAGCTCTATGCTTCTCTCAGTTAGCTGGGCTTAAATAAACTTTCATCTCCCTAGGGGCTTACTGATACACTATTAAAATGTTCTGAATTGTCTGCTACTTCACTATGACCAGAGATTGCCACTTAGGGTGTTATTTTAAATGTCAGCTATCCATGAAGACAGTAAATGTGGGTGGGAGAGAGAGAAAGAGAGAACATTTGATCATCTGCTTTGTAATTAATTGGGCCTAAATTTCAAATAAGTAATATTTGCTATTTTTTATTCGCTAGTGAATAAGTTTGTTCACCCCTCCCTGCTGTGAAGAATCAACATTTCTCAAATAAGACTAATGATTTACTTCTACTGTGTTTGACTATGATTTAATGGACATAAAATGTGTCCTCTATTGTCTTTCTCTTTATTCCAGTAATATGAATTTCCTTGCTAAAGTTAAAAAATAAGACCATCCTGACATAAGACACTTTCGATAAAATGGAAGCATTAATTATCAAAAGAAAGCAGAGGCAAAATATTTTAAAATATAATAGGATTGATTGAATAGTTTATTTTTCATTCAGATATCTGGGACTTTTTTGAAAGCTACTGCCGAAAGTACATTCAGAACAGCCTGTGGATAGAGTCTTCTTTAGGCCTAGATCCTATTTCCTGAGTCCTAATGCTGAATTTTCATGTCGCCAAACCCAGTCATTTTAGCAGTTCTTTGTGGGCCACTTATTTAAAGCAGGTTTTCAGTATTTCTGGAGGAGCAAAATAAAGCAAAGAACATTTTTTCTATGTCTATTTTGCACGATTTATTTTTGTAAACATACAGAAACATAAAAATAAAAAGTAGCATGAGAAAACCTCAAAGAAGTATGATAGGTTAACTTCTTCTAAACAACCTCATCTGATATTAATTTCTTAGAATTTTAGCTACTAGCAATTTTTCTGTTTTAAAAATTGGAAACATACATACAGCTTCTTGTGTCAAAGTGCTTTAGAGTGAGATTTTTATCTTTTATATGACTTTCCTTTGATGTCTATTGGAGACATATTTTCTGCAATGCAGATCAGCCTGCATTTGCATTTAGCACCCAAGTGGGGGTGTCTGTGGCTTTCTGTAGCAGTCTAAGTTCCATTTTTTTCCACATCCTCATTAACATGCAGCATCTTTGAGGGAAGTTTGGCTGAGGTGCCTCAATTAGAATGGGATGCTTAAGGTCCTCAGGCCTTTTGATCATTTATGTCTTTACACGGTGTTTTCCCATCCAACAGAGGGTAATGCCTGAGTTGCAATGAGTTGATCCTTCAATAAAGACAGTCAGTGTAGCTTAATTTGGAATAAAAATGATTGCCATTAATAAGCTTAACTTTCCAGCAATCCAGCTTTCTTTAAAGCAGTCCCTCTGGGAATGTACATTAGACTGCCTTTGACAGACTGCAAATTTGGAAACCCATAACTCTATAAAAAGTTATAAATATTTTGTTATGCATTATGAGTCTATTTATTATGAATATAATAGCTTAAAACATATCACAAATAAAATAATGTTATTTATGAATAAAAATGTGAATTACCAAGTGGGCAATTTAAGGATTAATATTAATACCCTTTATAAATTTTGATTAAATCTAAACAACTACTGGATCTTGAAATGCATATTGCATATGTAGAAAGAAAAATATTTCTACTTATTCTTAAATTTTTGAAAAATGTTTGTTGTCAGTTTCTCCTATATGGGTAAACATGGTAATGAAAATATATTGTAGACTCAGGAAGTACATGCCATTAATGTGAGAAATAGAGTGGTATGTCAAGTTTTTTCGTAGTCTTATTGAATGTATGAACCACCTCCATAATAAATGCCCAATCCCACATTCACATAAAATTTTATAGATCCATCCGTTGTCAACTGTCTTTACCTCTTGATGACCTTTTGGGTTCCCATGATCTCCAAGTGAAGATATTGCATATTCATAATGCTATTTAATCAGAAGAAAGGGATTATTGTCATCTTTGAGCTCTCTACTTATTGACTAATTTATTTTGGAGAAATCGTCACTGGTATTTGAGAAAAACATATCCCTAGTTATTAAAAAAAAAAGGTACAATGCAGATTTGGTCACTTAGAATAAGTATTACATCAGATATTTTAGATTATCAAATGCTTACTTTTAATGTAGAAAAGCACATATCTCATATAATTTGCACTCTGTAAACTCATGGATAGAAAAGCAGTACAGTGATTTTAGATTTTAATTGGGTGCTTCAGAAGTGCACCCTAAGCCCCAAACCACTTATGTTTATTACTATGAAGTATCCCTATTAAAATATGAAATAGACCACATTTTATTGCCTCTTGTATTATTACTTTTCATTTTGTGAGAATAAAGTTGAAAACATGGCCTATTTCCCTTTGGCTGTAAGTATCAAACAAGCAGATGTAGCAGGCTGTGTTATAGAACTAATTCAATATAAGTGGCTAGAATCAATTAATATAAAATTTCTAATCCATCAAGGAAAGATTTAGTAAAGCACATTTATTAAAATATTTTGATAACACACCCAAAATAATAAAAATATATTAAAACAACTAATTTTTGAGCCTACTCTATATTGCATATTGCTATTATATTAAGCGTATTGCCCCATATCTAAAAATAACTTTTCAAATAAAATGGATTCCATTTTACAGGTGAAGAAATTGAGAAATAGAAATGTCAGACTAATTGCTCTGGTGTCAAACCATAATCACAAACGAATTTTATCTGGCTCCAAAAATTTTGTCTTCCTCTTATGTAATGTGAACTCTGTAAAAGCGAATAAATACTTGATTAGGAATTGTATTGTGTCTAGCTTCTTTGTGTTAATGAATGTAATTTTGAGCTTAAATTCTTTTTTTTCTATCTATAAAATTTTGAAAATAAATTTTACTATTATAAAATAGTAAGTGAGCTTTTAAAGATTATAATCACAGTCAGCAGTTGTCTCTTTGTAAAAAATTACATAAAATGTGCATACCATAAATTCCACCCTTCAAAGTGTAAAATTCAGTGGTTTGGGTATAGTCTCAAATTTGTGCAACCCACACTGTATATAATTACAGAATATTCTCATCATTTAAAAAGAAATTAGGAACCTATTAACACTCAGTAGCAATTTTCCCACTCCTCATCCTCTGGCAACCATTCATCTTATTTATGTCTCCATGCATTTGCCTGTTCTAGGCATTTCATAAATAGAATCATATAAAATATATTTTGTTGTATCTGGCTTCTTTCAACAAGTATAAACTTACCAAGGTTTATTCATGTAGCAGGTATTAATAACTCATCCCTTTTTAAGGCTGAATAATAATCCATTGTATGGATACACCACATCCTGTTTTTCCATTCACCAGGTTTTGGATATTTGGGCTGTCCCTAGTTTTTGGCTATTTTAAATAATGATGCTGTGAACATTAGAATATGCATTTTTTTTGTGTGTGTACCTATGTTCTGAGTACTTTGGGTGTGTACCTAGGAATGGAATTGGCTGAGTCATATGAAAATTCTGTTTAATTTATTGAGGAATGATCACTGTTTTCCACAGCATTGCAGCATTTTAAATACCCACACAGAGTCTACAAGGGTTTCATTTTCTTTGCATTCTTTCTAACACTTGTTATGAGTATTATCTATCCTTTTTTTAATAGCCATCTTAGGGTATGTGAAATGGTATCTCATTATGGTTTTGATTTGCATTTTCTTGATGACTACTAATGTTGAGAAATGTTACATCTGCTTATTGGCTATTTATTAATCTTTTAAAATAAAACATATACCTCATTTTTTTGCCTAATTTTGAGTAGGCTAGTTTTCATTCATTACTGAGTCGTAAGTTTTTTTATATGTAACAGATATATCTGACATATAAAAAATCTTATTAGATACAAATCATAAATATTTTCTTTCATTCTGTAGGTTGCATGTACACTCTCTTAATAGTGTCTGTTGATATACAAGTATTTAATTTTGAAGTACAGTTTATTAACTAATGATTTTATGTATTTATTTATTTAGCTTATGCTTCGGATATTATATTTAAGAAACTGTTGCCTCAAAGCCAAGGTTATGAAAATTTAAACCTGTGTTTCCTTTGAAGAGTTTTAAAGTTTTAGATCTTGCATGTAGGTTTTAAATTCATTTTATGTTAATTTTAGTATATGATATGAGGTAGGGGTTCATCTTCAATTCTTTGCATGTGGCTATTTTGTTGTCCCACTGCCATTTACTAAAGAGACTATGTATTCTCAATGAATGGAATTAACATCCTTTTCAAATATCAATTGGCCATACACTGGGTGCGATGGCTCATGCCTGGAATCCGAGCACTTTGGGAGGCTGAGGCAGGTGGATTGCTCGAGGCCAGGAATTGAAGACCAGCCTGGCCAACCTGGCGAAACCCCATCTCTACTAAAAATACAAAAATTAGCCGGGTGTGTTGGCATATTCCTGTAATCCCTGCTACTCAGGAGGCTGAGGCACGAGAATCTCTTGAACCCAGGAGACGGGCGTTGCAGTGAGCTGAGATGAGGCCACTGCACTGCAGTCTGGCTGAGAGAGTGAGACTCTCTGAAAGAAAAGGAAAAAAAAATCAATTGACCATAGATGTGTCAGTTTATTTCTGGACTCTCAATTTTATTCCATTAATTTTTGTTAATTTTCCCTATTTTTTTATTCTCTCTCATTAATTTTCACTCTAATCTTTATCATTCCATTATTTAAGTGGTTTAGGTTAGCTTTTCCTCTTACTCTAGTGTCTTAAGATAGAAGCCTACATTATTGATTTCCAACCTTTCTTCTATTTTAGTATAGACAATTACAGTATTCCATTTCCCACTCAACACAATTTTAGCCAATATCCATAAGTTTAGGTATACCCTGCCTGTATTTTATTCATATCAAAATATGTTCTAATTTCTCTTGTGATTTCATCTTTGAACTATTGCTTATTTAGAAGTATGTTGCTTAATTGTTACATATTTATACACTTTCCAGATTCCCTTCTGTAACTGATTTCTAATTTTATTCCATTGTTGTTGAGAAGATACTTTGCATGATTTCCTTCTTTTAAAATTGTATTAAGACTTTTATTAATGCCCTAATATATGGTCTATTCTGAACAATGTTCCATGCGCACCTCAGAGTGTCATCCTCACGTCTTCTGATTTTTATAGTTTTTGACAGTAAATTAGCTAATGATGTTACAGAGAATTCTGTGTAATAATGAATCATTGCTCTCTTGTTGCTTCCAAAATTTTCTCTTTGCTTTTAACTTTCAACTGTTTGATTCTGCTATGTCTAGTTGTGGCTCTCTTTGAGTTTTTCTATTTGAAGTTGGCTGATATTTTTAGATGTGCAGATAAATTTTTTAAACAATTTTGGGGATTTTTTTAGCCATTATTTCTGTAACTATTCTGTCTGCCCCTTTCTTACTCTGTCTTCTTGTGGAATTCATATCATGTATATGATGATATATAGATAGTTCCTGGCTTCCAATGGTTCAATTTATAATTTTTTCAATTTTAGGATGGTGCAAAAGCAATACATTTTCATTATGTTTCTTGATTTACGATGGGGTTACATATGTATAAAACCATCCTAAGTTGAAAACATTATAAGTCAAAAACTCAAAACTCAAAAAACTCAAAAAATAGGATATCTATATATATCTATGTATCTATATATATCTGTATCTATATCTCTATCTATCTATGTATCTATGTATCTATCTATCTATCTATCTATCTATCTATCTATCTATCTATTAGTTCTGTCCCTCTATAGAACCCTAATACACAAGTCAAACCTGCTTTTCAACCTCTCTGGTGAATTTTTTATTTCAGTTGTTCTTATTACCTCCAGAATTATCTATATTATTTTTACTAGCATTTTCTTTTGATTCGTATTCTCTATTAAGACATTGTTCTCATACTTCAGATTTTCTTTTTTTTAAATTTTATTTTGTTATTATTATACTTTAAGTTTTAGGGTACATGTGCACAATGTGCAGGTTTGTTACATATGTATACATGTGCCATGTTGGTGTACTGCACCCATTAACTCGTCATTTAGCGTTAGGTATATCTCCTAATGTTATCCCTCCCCCCTCCCCCCACCCCACAACAGTCCCTGGAGTGTGATGTTCCCCTTCCTGTGTCCATGTGTTCTCGTTGTTCAATTCCCACCTATGAGTGAGAACATGTGATGTTTGGTTTTCTTTACCATAGCTTCCTTTAGTTCTTTGAACATATTTAAAATAGTGTATTTAAAATATTTGTCTAGTAATCTCAGTTTCCTCAGAGACAATTTTAGTTGACAACATTCTTTTCCTTTTTATGGGCCTTACGTTCTTATTTCTCTTTGCCTGTATTATAATTTTTTGGCTAAAAATTTGACATCTTTAATATTATAATATAGTGGCAACTTTGGAAACAAAATTACCCCCTTTACCAGGCTTTTATGTTGTTGTTTCTGTTGGTGTTGCTGATGTTTATTTATGTAATTCCTTTCATGAACAAGTTCTGTAAATTCTATATTCTTGGTCATGCATGGCTACTAAAATCTCTGGTCTGTTTGCTTGGTGGTCAGTTAATAATTGGACAAAATTATCTTAAATTCTTGGAATCAGTAAGTCTTTGCTGACTTATTGCAATTTGTCAGATAATCCTTGCTCAGGGGCTCTATTTGCATTTTGGGGCATGCTTGCAGTACTCAAGCAGGCACGTTTACTTCTATGTCTGAATCTCCCTTTATCATTTATGTAGACTCTTAAGGTCAGCCAGAAGTGAGATCTTAAAGACTTCTCCAATCTTTGGGAGCATCTGCACAGCCATGTGTATATACAGCCCCATGTGTGTAAGTGGCCCCCTAGATTCCCAAGAATGTGACAAAGTTTTTCAAAGCCCCATATGGTCATCTCATTTTCCAGATTTTCCTTTTAACTGTTTTCACCAGCTTGTGATTTGCCCCAATTCATTTTGCTGCTTCCTAAGGTTGTTATGTTAAGCTATTGATACAGTTTTCAACAAACATCTCCCAGAAAAAGACTGTTTGTACTGGACAAACTTTGAATCAGTTTAAATTAAGATAAGGCTGACAAGTGGAATTTTTCAGGGAACTATTATATAGGTAACCTGAGGACTGTTTTCTGGGAATGGGACTTTGTGGGAGCACTGCTCTATTCTGCCACTTCAAGTGGTCGATAGACTTCTGTTTTTCACTATAATTATGGAGCTGCTAGTTTTCAAGGCTACTATGGCACTGGGGAGAGGAGGACATAAATAGGACACATTAAGACATGACAGACCTTACTGCTCTTACCAAGAGTTACCAATTCTGGTTTTCTTGATTAAATGTTCCCCAGATTGTTGCAAGTCTCTGGTTCATTTGTACAGTTCTAAAAATAAGTTGATTTTGAGAATGTTTGGCAGTGTCTTTATTGCTTTTATAAAACAAGATTTTCAAAGGTCCATACTTAACCATTTCTATCGATATCATTCACACTTTTTTTAAACTATAAAATGGAAATTATGCTAAATGTCTTTAAATATGTTTATTCAAACTTACATGTTCAACAATTAATTTATAAATGATTAGTGCTTTCTGAAAAATCAAGTAAAAAAACAAAATCGGAAAGAGTTCTAATGTTAAATGTATGTTTGAATTGAATTTGGAAAAGCATTTACTACATGGGAATTTAAATCCAATATTTAAACCTAAAGAAAGAAATAGAACTAAATATAAAACTGGTTACTACAATTATAAGTAATTTGGTTGTTATGTGATAGTTTCTGAGTTGAGACAGGTTTCATTTTTAGAAGTAACCTTGAATAAAGTTGGAAACATCCTAAATCAAGCCAAGTGCTAAATCAGGCTCAAGATCTAATTGTTATGTTATGTTTCCTAAAGTGCTTATTAACTATACTATGATTCAGGTTTCTTGGCGATGTTGTCTAGATAAATTCTAGTTTGATATCTCTTAGGTCTTTAAGCTAAATGTGCTGAGTTATATCTCCACCTGCTATACAGTATTATAACTAAATAAACAAAGGGATTTTAACTGTTCTTAAGTGTTTTTACCATAAATTATGCATAACATTTTTATATTGACCAGGAAATTTAAAGAAAATGATTGCTCCATGGTTTCTCATTTCTATTGGTTGAATGAGTAGGCCTTTCTTTCAAACACAAAAATGGCAGATTGCAACTCCCCAGCATCTCTATTTGGAATCTTAGCAATTCTAAAAATGAACACTGCTGATAGGCTTCTATGTAAATTTCTAACATTTGCTATTCTATTTTAATAGCTGAATACATTGGAAGACTAGGAAATCGCATCATCAGTGTAGGTAAGGAATTTATTTGGCAAAGGGAAAGCTGAGGATTATCCTGTCTATATAACAAGTGCACAAAGTTAACTGCAGTGTGTAACTAGCAAGATGAAACCAATTATTAATATGAGCATCTGAATTACATTTGATAATGGCCTTTTTATTTTAATTTCAAATAAATTGTGCATCACAATCTCACTCTTAAATCCAAAGTAGGACTATTATAATGCTTCTGGCTTGAATGAAACATCCAGGGTTGCCAGGATACCGTTGTAGGTGGCTGGCCAGGGCAGTAGACTATTGTTAGTTGAGCTCTGACTGGCCTCAGTGGTAATCATGGTCTCCTCTAAGGCTGAAAATTCAGCCTTTAAATTCAGTAATATTGAGACAATATGTTTTTCTACTCGGCTCTGAATTATGATTATTCACTGTTTCTTCTTAAAAGTCAAACACTGTTTATTGCTGAACCACTTAGTGCTGAAAAGCTGAGTTACAAAAGAGCTTCTTTCTGTATATCTACTTGATTAACATGGTTCATCCAATTCACTAAGAATGGTTATTATACTAAATTAACCTTTCTTATCTTGCCTGCATTCTTTTTATATTTGTGAGAACAAAAAGAGGTATGATAAACTCCTTTTGAAATATATATGTATATTTAACTATGAGTAGTAGTTTTCACACATATGAAAAATATACTCTATGTATCAATTGTGTATGTGTGTGCATGTTTGTGATGTATATGTATGTCTGTGCATTTCTCTCTTGTGTGTTTGGTATATCCTAGACTCTGTATTTATTATTTTAATTCTTGATATAAATCATTTCTTTTGGAAATGGTTATTAATTACCTAATTTGAGCAACATGTAGTGGTAAGTAAGATAAAGTCCCTACACTCCTCAAGTTTATATTTTGGTGGAGTAGGTAGAAATTATCAGTATTAATTTTTGGTGGGGCATAGAGAAAGACATCGTCAAGTGTATGGTGCTTTGACTTGCTGAGCACTTTTTAATTCAAGGAAATTTAAAGACCTTAGAAGTTGTCTTAAAACCAAGGACTTTCTAACCTTCCCTTGTATCCTTCCCAACACCCCACCCCATCCCACTTTCCCAAGTGCAGGGGAAAGCTGTCTCTGAAACTTTCTTGATCTGACTGAGGAAATATGCTTCCAAAAGAAATAATTGTCTTAACCTCCCCTCCCCGCCGCCAGGAATTTCATTAAATAATCAGAAAAGATTAATCACCAGAGAAAAGAAGAGACTACAAGTTATCACCACACCCAGACAGACTTTTCATCTATTCGTCCTTCTAACAGTGGCTCTGAGAGATTAGTTAAGAGAATTTGTCTGCATTATAAGATAACCTTTGTTCACAGTGCAGTTCTGCCCCTCACCTTCCTGTCAGTCCCACTCAGTTTCCAAAGAGAATCCTTTACTAACTACTGTCTGCTCTTTGGCCCCATTTATTCTCTCTGAAAATAATTTACTACTCCTCACAATTGCCCAATCTCTGAGTTCCCTTTTCCCTCTGAAAAGGGGATTTAAGCCTCAGTCATCCAGTCCTTCTTTGAGTCTCAGATTTGTGGGATCCTCATGTACATGTGCATGTTAACAAATGTGTATGCCTTTTCTTCTGCTAATTTGTATATTGTCAGTTTACTTTTGCAGGGTGACTCAATTATCAAAAATTCAAAGGGAAAGTTTAAACTTTCCTATATTTCTTACCGCTACTATAAAAAGCTACTATAAAGTTATTCGCTTAAACCAATACAAATATTCTCTTGTAGTTGTGGAGGTCAGCAGCCTGAAGTCAAGGTGGAAATTCCTTTTAGAAGCTGAAAAAGGAAACTTATGACTTTATTCTCAAATTACTTCAATTTTTTCCTTCCATCATTGCACCTACTATTACTCACTGTAATCCTCCTGCCTTGTTAGACATGGTACACACCTGTATAATCCAGGATACTCTGCTTATCTCAAAATCCTTAATCACATTTGCAAAGTCCCTTTCACAGTGTGAGGTAATAGGTTCGGCAATTAGGACATGATGTATTGGGAGAGAGGGTTATTTAGCCTGCTAAAGTAAGCAAAAAAAATTTTAAGATACAAAATACTATCAGGTAAACAATAATATCAAGTGTTATTGATAAAAAATAAACAAGATGAAGAACTTGAGAATAGTGGCCAAAAAATATAGTATGATCGGAGACATGAAGAAGGAATATTGAATAAAACCTTGCATAAAGCAAGGGAAAAAAAAACAGTAGAGGATTTGGCAGAAGTGAATTTCAGCAAAGGACACAGCTGGTGCAGGGGTTCTAATTCAGAAATAAGTTTGGCATGTTCAAGAATCAGCAGGAAGAGCAGATTGAGCAAGGTCAGTGGAAGGAGAACAGGTCACTCAGGTTGGTAAAAAAACAGGAAAAAAAAAAGAGCTTTGTAGGCCATGGTAAAGACAATCATTCATTAGTAACTCTCCATGCTCATGACATGTGTAATCTATCATTTTTCTGGGGTGCAATTCTGAACTCTGCTTGCTGCTATAACCTTTATCTGCAGAAATGAACCACTGGGCTTGTGAGGGAGACTAACAACGCAGCATGATATCTAATGTTCTCTACTTTCGTATAGCAAAAGACTCTCCTGAAGTGATAATTCCTATGCTTTTGTTAAATTAGCCTGCAGAGAAAGTCATAGTCTATTTATGTGGCTAGAAATGGAGAAAGACTAAAATTATGTAGCATGAGATTATTCTTAGCCAGAAAATAGAAATTTGAGGTAAGTTAATTTTCGGAAAACTGAATTCAGTAGTGACTCAAATTTATGACTTGAACAAGTCTAACATATTCTATATTTTATGAAACTGTTTTAGTTTCCTAGACAGTGCCAAACTGTGCAGCAGGTGAGAGCTAAAAGCTTAGAGAAAGTTGAGAATTGGTTAATATCCTATTTCAAAATAGACAAAAGGTACAAATGATTTTAGACTTCAGGCGTCATCATGCTATATTAATCAACAACACAATCTAGTCATTTTTTTCTAAATATCTTGAAATAGAAAATATTTCCCCATTACAAACATTTGATTCTAAGACACCATCATCTTTCATCCATCAATTACTTAAGTCCCTCACTCAGGTTTTCTCAGTGACTACACAACCATACTTTTGACAGCCCAACTTATTTCCCACAGCATACATAATCTTTTATAAACAAAAACATAATTTTAAAAATACATCATATACTTTTTCCCATTAAATCACTTAGCTCCTTCTTAATAAGATTGCAATAAAAATCATAATTTTTACATGTCCCATAAGGCATTACAGAAACTTATTTTCATTAATACCCTCTTATTACAGTTTCAAATAAACATGCTTTTCTTTCTGTCTGATGCTGTTACCCCAGCTGTTTCTTCTTTTTCAAGGCTGATTATCTTCTGATTCCAATTAACAATTGCTAGTCATTAATGATTGATCTCAATGCACACCACTTTCTCAAAGGAACCATTTCTAGAAGATGACCCACTGTAATGTGTTTATATGTCTCTATATATCTTCTTCATTGACAATTTCACAACTGCTACTTACAAGATTCTTAACGGCTTGTCTGTTTCTCTGTCAAACATAAGACTGTACAGTCTAGAAAAACAATCATGTCGTCTGCAAACTTATACAAAAATTAATTCAAGATGGATTAAAGATTTAAACGTTAGACCTAAAACCATAAAAACCCTAGAAGAAAACCTAGGCATTACCATTCAGGACACAGGCGTGGGCAAGGACTTCATGTCCAAAACACCAAAAGCAATGGCAACAAAAGCCAAAATTGACAAATGGGATCTAATTAAACTAAAGAGCTTCTGCACAGCAAAAGAAACTACCATCAGAGTGAACAGGCAACCTACAACATGGGAGAAAATTTTCGCAACCTACTCATCTGACAAAGGGCTAATATCCAGAATCTACAATGAACTCAAAGAAATTTACAAGAAAAAAACAAACAACCCCATCAAAAAGTGGGCGAAGGACATGAACAGACACTTCTCAAAAGAAGACATTTATGCAGCCAAAAAACACATGAAAAAATGCTCATCATCACTGGCCATCAGAGAAATGCAAATCAAAACCACTATGAGATATCATCTCACACCAGTTAGAATGGCGATCATTAAAAAGTCAGGAAACAACAGGTGCTGGAGAGGAGGTGGAGAAATAGGAACACTTTTACACTGTTGGTGGGATTGTAAACTAGTTCAACCATTGTGGAAGTCAGTGTGGCGATTCCTCAGGGATCTAGAACTAGAAATACCATTTGACCCAGCCATCCCATTGCTGGGTATATACCCAAATGACTATAAATCATGCTGCTATAAAGACACATGCACACGTATATTTATTGCGGCATTATTCACAATAGCAAAGACTTGGAACCAACCCAAATGTCCAACAATGATAGACTGGATTAAGAAAATGTGGCACATATACACCATGGAATACTATGCAGCCATAAAAAATGATGAGTTCATGTCCTTTGTAGGGACATGGATGAAACTGGAAACCATCATTCTCAGTAAACTATCGCAAGAACAAAAAGCCAAACACCGCATATTCTCACTCATAGGTGGGAATTGAACAATGAGATCACATGGACACAGGAAGGGGAATATCACACTCTGGGGACTGTGGTGGGGTGGGGGGAGAGGGGAGGGATAGCATTGGGAGATATACCTAATGCTAGATGATGAGTTAGTGGGTGCAGCGCACCAGCATGGCACATGTATACATATGTAACTAACCTGCACAATGTGCACATGTACCCTATAACTTAAAGTATAATATAAATAAATAAATAAATAAATAAATAAATAAATAAATAAATACATAAAATTAAAAAAAAGACTGTACAGTCCTTGATCATAAAATACAAATCTGTCATATTTACCCAGTTTCCCTGAGACTTTAAATCCCAGGACATCCAGAAAAATCTATTTTTACTGAATAGTGCATTTCCGGTTTCTAGCACAGTACTTTCATGTAATAGACACTAAGGAAATATTTGTTGAATTGATAATAATAAATGAATAGGTGCAGTGGGGTGGCTTACACCTATAGTTCCAGCACTTTGGGAGGCCAAGGCAGGGAAATGGCTTGAGCTGAGGAGTTTGAAACCAGCCTGGGCAACATAGCAAAACCCCATCTCTAAAGAAAAATACAAAAAATAATTAGCTGGGCATGGTGACTTGTGCCTGTAGTCTCAGCTATGCTGGAGGCTGAGGTGAGAGGATCACCTGAGCCCAGGAGGTCGAGGCTGCACTGAGCCATGATCACACCACTGCACTCCAGCGTGGGTAACAGAATGAGACCCTGTCTCAAATAAATAAATAAAATAATAAATTAATAAATGAAAGAAGACAACATGCCTACCCTCTAATAAAGTGGGATGTTAAATCCACTATCTGCACATTGAAAATGAGGTTGGAGGCTGTTGGTTGTTTTCAGTATCCTTCCTATTCTCCAGTTTTCATATGAGAGCTCAGGTTTCAGTTCACACAGTTTGTATAGTGTGAAGACCTGTATGTAAATATTTGCCTGAGATTGCCATTTGTATTAAGAACAGCCTGTTCTTTGACATGGGTCAAACAAAATATAAGTTCAAATAGAGGTTCAACAAAAATGGTGCTAAAGTTGAATTCAAAATTCAAAATTCACAATACATATGTGGTAAATATACCACAAAGTTTTAAATTGAAAAAGGTTATGCAGTTTAAAAGCCTGAAAGAATAAAGAGGTATATAACAAGTTTACTAATATACAAGAGAAATCATGGTTGCTTAATTTGGGTTTAACTCTTCACTAAAAAGAAAGAATCATTCACAGACAGAATGATATAGACAGAAATACCTGTATCAAGTATCCAACTACTTAATAATCAAAAATATCATGACACATCTAAAAATAAATATTTGGATTTTACTTAAATTGCCTGGAGCATAAATCTTATTTTTATATTATTTTTCTAAAGCATTGGATATGCTTTTCTGCACCAGACACATTCATGAAAGCACGCCAGAGACTGTAAAAATACCCTTTCCATTTTATTTTTCAAGAAATTGCCACGTAGTTCTAAATGTATAGCTTCAGGTAGAATAGTAGTATTTCTTTTATTTGCGGTTTAAACAACTATTTAGTTTTTGAAAAATCTGGTGCCAAGACACAAGATTTGTGTATTTTTAAAAATAATCTATTTCAAGTCTGTGTTTAAAAATTATATTTTCCAAGTATTGCATTATTGGAGTACTTAAGAGTAATTTAGAGAAAAAAGATTTCTCATTTGATATAATTTTTCTTGGTTTCACTGTGTGAAAAGAGGCAGATATTTCATGAAAGCAGGAACTTTGCCCATTAACTCAAGAAATGTGTATCTCAATGATACCTCTGTGGTCTTTTCTAGAGATATAGTCCAAAATTTCCTCATATTTTTAGATTATGCAATTAATAAAAACAACCTCTTTAATTACAGTTTTCTACACATGATCATATAGGATATGCTTTTTTTTATAATTTATGTATCATAGTTTCTAGTTTTTACAAAAGTTGTTATGGGAAGTTTTAATAAGTTGGTGTTCTCTTGATTCATATGAAAGTTGATTGCCTTTTTTGTTCCCTCTATTCAGTGTATGGTGTGTATTTTTCTTATTTGCCGTGGGTACCATATTCCATTTTTCAAATTGAGTGATAGTTTTCTGAAAATTGGTTTTATGTTTTGGTAAACAGTACTTATTGTTGTTTCAAACTGAAGTTTACTAAGAGATCTATCATATTGAGTTTCCTATTGATAATTTAAAATGTTGGCCACTCATGTCAGATTTTATGTCATTTTTGTTGAACCTCTACTTCAACTTATATTTTTTCTGTATTTTTTTATGTGAGGGTGATCATTCTTGCTTTTTATTTGATGTGAAATAGCCTTGTTATTTTATTTTGAAAATTCAGAGAAGCTTAATTTGATATCAAATAAAGTTTGTATTTTACGCAGGAAAAAGCATTCTCTAGTGTACGATTTAAATATATTTGTCCTCATATACACAAAGTTATTAATTAATTTACAATCTATATGCTTGATGTTTAAAATTATAATATTTTTGTATTTTTAAAAAGATGAACTTTATAGTCTACTGTTCTTTCTTGATTGCTAATTTTGGGTGTGATTTCATAAATAGAAATCAGCAGTATAGAATGTTTAATATATTTTCACTCCTTAAAAAGTTAGAACACAGTTTTCAGCTTACAGCGAGGGAAAGGAAGTGATGGAGGACTGTGTTTGCCACAAGAAAAATCTAAATTCAATGAATCACCTTATCATTACATAACAGGCAATTTCTATTATGTTTCCCTTTTCTAGGTTCTGTTGTTATTCGAATCCATAGTTCTTTGAAGCTTTCTGTGAATTTTGCATAACCAAATAAGAATGCATTTTTACTCTGAGTAGAGCTTACAACCTCTAAGCATTACATTCTAATTCTTGAAATCACTTGGATGGAAAGAAGTGAGAAGGTATTCTTCAAGTGGGATGGTTTAGCTAAATTGTCCATTTATTAGGAATAAATGAGAAAAATACATATTTACATAAAGAATCTACTTTATTAGCAATTTTTAAATATGTGACATATTGTTATTAACTGTAGTCACCATGATGTGTAACAGATATCTTAAGCTTATTCCTCCTCTCTAATTGAAATTTTGTTTTGATTGACAAATATCTCCCCAGTCTCCTACCCTCCAGCCTTTGGTAACCACCATTTTACTATCTATGAGTTAGATGCCACATGCAAGTGAGATCATGCTGTATTTGTCTTTCTGTGCCTGGTTTATTTCGCTTACCGTACTGTCTTCCAGGTTCGTCCATGTTGTATGTTAAATGACAGGATTTCTTTTTCTTAGGCTAAATAGTACTCCATTCTGTATATATACCACATTTTTTTTAATCTGTTCATCCATTGATGGACACTTAGTTTGTTTTCATACCTTGACTATCATAAATCATACTGCAATGAACATGGGAGTGCAGCCATCTGTTTAACTTAATATCCTTTCCTTTGGATATATAGCCAGTAGTGGGATTGTTGAATCATGTAATAGTTCTATTTTATAATTTTTTTTTGAGAACCCTCTGTACTGTTTTCCACAGTGGCTGTACTAATTTACATTTCCCCACCAGCAATGTACAAGGGTTCCCTTATCGTCGCATCCTCACCAACACTTAATTATTGTCTTTTTAATAGTAGCCACTCAAACAGGTGTCAGAGGATATCTCATTGTGGTATTACTTTGGATTTCCCTAATGATTAGTGATATTGCACTTTTTTTCACGTACTTCTTGGACTTTTGTATGTCTCCTTTTGAAAAATGTCTATTCAGGTTCTCTGCCTTTTTTTTTTCTTTTTTGACAGAGTCTCACACCGTCACCCAGACTGGAGTGCAGTGGTGTGGTCTTGGTTCACTGCAACCTCCAATCCCAGGTTCAAGTGATTCTCCTGCCTCAGCCTCTCGAGTAGCTGGGACTACAGACATGCATTGACATGCCCAGCTAATTTTTATATTTTTAGTAAAGATGAGATTTTGCGATGTTGGCCAGGCTGGTCTCAAACTCCTGGCCTCAAGTGATCCACCTGCCTCAGCCTCCCAAAGTGCTGGGATGACAGGAATGAGCCATCATGCCCAGCCTTTTGCCCATTTTTTAATTGAGCTATTTGTTTTCTTAGTATTGAGTTGAGTTCCTTATATATTTTGGATATTAATCACTTATCAAATGTATGGTTTACAAATATTTTCTCCCATTCTATAGGTTATTTCTTCACTCTAATTGTTTCCTTTGCTGTGCAGGAGCCTTTTTAGTTTGATACCATCCCGTGTGTCTGTTTTTTCTCTTGCTGACTGTACTTTCGCGTTTATATGCCAAAAACCATTACTCAGAAAAATATGAGGATTTTTCCCTATGTTTTCTTTTAGTAATTTTACAGTTTCAGGTTTTACATTGAAATCTTTAATATATTTTGAGTTTTTTTTATTTTTAACTTGGTGTGAGATGAGGGCCTAGCATTGCTTGAGGCAGACTTTCATCCTCACATGACACATTAAATATCTGTGTTTTCCTTTTAAGGCTTGTGCTGCTCTGAACTTCCCGGGTTGCATGAAGTGTGAACTATGTCTCTCCTGTCTGTTCTGAGACAGGACAACAATTCTGAGTAGATTCCTGAGTGAAGCTGCTCTTCGTGCTTCAGCAGACTGTGTGCTTGGGATACTAGTCAGAAATAACACCTCTGTAGTACTTTATTCAGAAAACCAAAACCCTCTCCCTGGCCTAAACTTTTGAATTTTCTAAGCCTTGAATAAGTTGTGCTTCTTCAGTAGCAGCAGAAATATATTTTTCTGCCTCATCATTTTTGGTAGCAATGTAATGGTCCTCTGGTTTTTTTTATTTCTTTTGTTGTTTCTCTAGTTCCAATCAGGCTGTTTTTTTTGGCTTGTTTGTTTAACATTTGTAACTTGATTTTTCAGTTTGTCTCTCTTCTCTGCTGCTGTATGCTAAATATCTACTCTTTGCTTGATCTTTCTTCTGTTCCATACTTACCTTTCTAAAGTATTTTTCCTCAGTGTCTTATATGTTCCCCCATATTTGGAGACAATAAATCAAGTAATTCTGGGTTTTCCCAGAATAATACATTAAATGAGTCAAATGTTGAGATATCATGTTCTCTCACATTATACACCTCATTCAGTTGTATAATTCTACATAGAAGGATTCTGTCAGCAGAATAACATCTTACCCAGGCTGGAAATGAGGGTATTAGAGTCCTCCTCCTTTTATCCCTTTTATTGTAATTCACTTTCTCAAACTGGTCCTTACAGTCCTAAATGCATTCCTTGAGGAAAATCACATATCTGTATTCTTATTTATAATAATTATTATTTTAAAATTAATATAATGATACTAGACTTAGGATCCATAGATTCATTTTGCCAACAGAAAAGGGCTAGCTGGGTGCCAGGCATGTCCAACATGGGGGCTCCATCTTCTTTTTTTCTTAGCACGTGTACAGTAATAAAGAAAGGGGCACATGGTGCAGCTTAGGCAGAGAAGCCACCCGCATAATAAAAGATTAGGGTGGGGGCTACTAGAGATTTGCACCCTATGCAAATGGCACACCTACTCCAACCAGTCTTTTGTTCCCTATGTAAATCAGACACCACCTCCTCACCAGCTCATCTGTAATACCCCTTGCATTTCATCATGGATCCAGCAGCCCATTTTTCTGGGACTCCTCTCGGCAGCAGAGAGCTATTCTCTTTCTTTCACCTATTAAACTTCTGCTCTCAACCTTACTCTTTGTGAATCTGTGTCCTCATTATCTGTGGCCAGGAGACAAGAGTGTTACTCCGGATGATGAGGCCATTCACCATTTTTATGGCTCATCTTAAAGATGAATTATGTCTTGGGGCAAGGATAATATTCAACATATTTGTCAAGCAGGTCCAACAGAGCTTAAAGTTAAAAAAATTATAAAATAATAATAATAAACCAAAACCAAAATATGTATCAACTAGTTTGGCACAGACCAATCAGAAATGTAAGCTAGAAGTTAAAGCAAGTCCTGAAAGTCTCTTGCTATGGCTGGTGTTCTTTTTAATTGCTAGGTTTTATGAAAAATACCCTGCTAAAGAAGGGTCTGAGCTATCCTAGAAACCAGAGGAAGAGGCCCTCAGGATAGTCAAGGAAGCAGGCATCTATTGATTGGTACAAACAATTATTTTCAAAAATGGTACAACAATACCAGTATATTCTCCATGAGTATTAGCTCTAGCTTGTTGAGTCAGCTGTAACATTTATATTTTTCTAGCCTATCACCCAACATCGTAAATTTCTCCCAGAAATTGATTTTATCTTTAAATTCCTTAATTTTCTCTAAGTTTGAAGGTAGAAGTTATTTCTTCCTTATCTAAAACACCCTAGATTTTTTTCTATTGCCTGTTGTCATTTATCCTTTCACTCCCTGGGCCAACCTAATTCCTAAAACCAAAATATTGTGCGTATAAGTTTGATATAGCAAATTTTGTGTGTGTTACGGAAGGCAAAGAAGTGGCCATATTGCAGTAATCTCCTTAAATATACTCTTCATTTTGTGCAAGTTGTATTTCCAACACAACAGAATTGAAAGGAGCAAATACTCTTGTCACCAATTATGAGCTCATGTTTTTAATTTAAATGCTCCCTAAGTACATATTACTATTTTGTAAACCAAATCAAACTTATTTTCTTTTGTCAAGTGATTTATAGACATGACTGAGAAATAGAATAAATACAAATAATTTATCTCAACAGTAGCGTAGCAAAAAAAAAAAAAGTGTTGTATATAGGGACCCCAGAAATTCTAATATGATTCTTAAATAGAGAGGTAACGCTAGCTTCTTCTGGTAATCTCTTCACCATCTCAGTCTTGCCTGCTTAGTTCAGATTCTGCTGACGTCCTTCCTGTCTTCCTTGCCTTTTAGAAAACAACTCAATGCCCAATAAAAGTAACACTTGCCTGTGGTGCCATCCACATGAGCTTCTATAAGCAATCATGTTTAAGGCTTTTCATGGCCTAAATTTATTAAACACTAAGTCACTAAAGCTTACAGTTTTGCCACACCAGAAAAAAGGCTTGAGCTTTCCAAATCTTTCTTTGATCCTCAATGCCTTCTCAAAGTTTTCCAAATTAAGTGATAGTGTTTGAGGATAATAGTTTCTTCTTGTATTTTCCCTCTGAAACCACAAAAAATAGGTGCAATAGTCAGACAGATGGTGATCATATGTCAGCTTTATTTCTGATATTGCCAGAGTAGGTTTCCTACTGATTCACACTCTTAATTAAAATCACCTACCTAAAACATCAGGTCTTTTCTCATGAGGAGTGGAATTTGCCCACTGGTTTACTGCAGCTTGAAGAGTAATTAGGTACACTTGTGCCTAATTAAGGGCGATAAGCCTTAGAGAAGATAAGACTTCAAGTCACACATATTTAGGTCATTTTACTCAAATCCCCACTCAGATAAGTAGGTCCTTCTCCTGGTGGAAGAACAAATGAAGGAGAACAGGAAAAGAGCTGAAATTACCTTCCTCCAATGTTTCCTCCTGTAAGTGGAGCAGAATTTTGCGCAAGCAAACAACAGAAAAAGGTATTGTGGGTTTTTATTTCAGTTGTTTCTGGCATATGCAGAGTGTTATAAACAAACTTTAGTGTCTGAAGAATGTTGAATAGATCAGTGAGGAATGTGCATTGGGTAAAGAATGGGGAATTGTACAGACAACATTGAAAAGTAGCTAGGATTGTATCTGGAAACTAAGAAATTCGAAATATCCAGGCAACAAAGGCTGAAATTTTGGTAAAAAAAAATTGTAATTAATTTGTATATTGTAAGAAGTGTGTACACATTTATTGGAATACATTGGTGATAAATCTATACTTTAAAAATGAAAAACTAAAAAGAACCCTGTGATTTATGGAAGTTTGAAATAAAACAAGAAAAAATCATGGATATGTAAAACAGTTTAAAAAACTGTAATAGGAAGTAGAATTTAAATCTCCACAAGCTGGAGACAAATTCCATCCTTGTACTCTTGGAGGAGAAAATTGACCCAAGTGTAGCTCCTGGGAGCTAGAATAATTTTATTTCCAAACTTTGATACTAACCTTCCTGGTGCTCTGGACTATACCCTCTATTTTAGGGCTACAGTTAATGAGGAGGGCTCCCATTGATAAGGAAATTGTGTACACAGAGTATATTAGGTAGGAGAGCAAAGCCTTGAAGCCATGTAGGTCCACTCTTTCTAGAGAACCAATGGGAAACTTTCGGACCATTGCAAAGGGGAAGCCCACAAAGATAGTGATGAGAAAGACTGTAACCTCAGCTCTTCGATTCTTTCGACATGCGGGCCTCCCTCAGACACCTGTACACAAGCGTCACTTTTCATGGAGCCTCCTGGGTGCTCGTTGACCAGAGACTGGGAAGGCTTTCAATGTTGACTCCATCATCTCTGTGGCCTTACACTAGACGATCAAAACCCTCCTCCCTCCTTCCCTCTGAAACGCACTCCTAGCCAGTGGAAACTCAATTTTTTTCTCAAGGAAATATCACCTAGAACTTTCTCTATCCCTTTTTAATAAAACCAACTCAATTCAGTTTATTGAATAATCTTTTGACTGGTTTTTCAAGGCATTGTTTTGGGGTATATTAAAGCCTTTTAAAAATTTCTTCCCCAATATTTGAATTCATAACTATGCTTTCAGGAGCTTAATTTGGAATTCAAATGCTGAAGTTTTACTTTCATTATCTTTGCATCTCTGCTATAAAATCCTAATTTTTCTGAAGTTAATGGATTCTTTTAGCTGAATAGGTGAAAGAACAGAAAAAAGAAGTGTCAAAAAGAAAGCATGTGAATATGTTTTAAGATGGTATCTCACTATACATTGCACTAATTAAAGCAAAGAATGGTGTGGGCAGTAACAGCATGACAAGTCACTAAGGACTGGACATAGGAATTCTTCAGAGTAGAGTTGGCAGGAACTGGTAACTTAGAGAGTGAGGGAAGAAGCCACATTATAATTGTTTGTGGTGTGCGTGGATTAAAAAAGTGAAAGGATAAAGAGGATTTTGTTTGGTTGTTTTTGTTTCTGTAATTTGCTGTTGCTTTTACTAGGGGAAGCTTGAGTATGGTGTCTGTGAGGATCGAGAAGTCAGCACAGTGCTAGGGTAACTGAAGTAGCAATGTGAGGGCAGGTAAATTGGCTTGCTTTCATAAGCGGGTGGTTAGGCCTAGACAAGATGGAAAATGTGTAATATTGTGCACAGAAGGTAGCATGCAAATGTGCTAAACACTGTGCTAGGCCACTTAAGACATAGAAGTATTTTCCTGAGACATGAGAAAGGTGTAATGCTGAAGTGCCCTGATTTGAGAACCCGAGTGTCTGAGTTCAAATCCTGCCACCTCCAATTACTAGCTTTGCGGTCTTGGAAAGTTATTTTAACCTTTCTATGCTTTGGGTAATAGAACATATTTCCTTTTTCAATTCTGTCTTCTATTTGGCATTATGAAACTCGGGACTTTGGGGACGTTATTCTCTTCCCATGGTTTTACCCCATGTCCCTAAATCGTATTATTTTAAGAATGGTATCAGAAAAGTGACTGAATTCTGAGCCACTTTCAGAGTTGAGGGAACCATGAATTGCCTCTATTTTTTTTTTTCTTGTGTGTATAGATTTTACAGTGTCTTGCAGATACTCTTCATTGCTTGTGGCTTGAAGTTATGGTTTATTTTCTTATTTCTTTGGACATGAACTTTGTGTTATTCCTTTTTCAGGCAGTGTTTAAAAAGAGAAATTAGTGTAACAATACTTTTTATTACAGACTTCAATCTTATTTCAATTCACTTCAGTGTGTCACTATATACAAACATTTATATAAATTCTCCTTGTGAAGTAGAAGGAAATTCTAACACCTAGGTCATAGTTCCAGCCCCTATACTTATTATCCTCGTGATCTTTGATAAGTAACTTATAACCATTTATTTGTCTCCTCTGTAGCAGTAAAATGTAGATTTTTTTTAAAAAAAGAAAAATACTTGTCTTTTCTTAGTCCCAATATGAACTATATTTTTAAAATAGAACTGCTACACATATAAAATTTTGGTTGCTGGCATATGTCATATATGTTTGGATTTTCATGCATTAAATTTCCTTAAATTAGGACACAGAGATTTGATTTAATCTTATTTAAATTTTAGGAATATTTATCTTGTTACAGCACATAGACATTGACAAAGACATGTCACATATATATCTTTAAACTTTGCAATAATTTTGGGAGGTAGGTATTACTAGCTCTGACTCCTTATGTTTTAAATATGTAAATCATGGGCCTATGGTTCACATCTCCAAACGTAAGGACCAGTCTTGCCCTAAGATTGATCTACGTGTACATTTAATATATATGAAGTAAAATGTGATTTATATTTTGCTTATGAACAAATTAGAAAATATAGGTATCTAATAGTGTTTGATTTTTTTTATCCTTTTAGATACAGTGTCACTCTATCCCTCAGGATCAATGACAGTGGCGCCATTCTAGCTCACTGCAGCCTGTCTTTTGGCTCAAAAGATTCTCCCAGCTCACATTCCCAGTAGCGGGGACTACAGGCACACGTCACCACACCTGGCTAATTTTTTTGTTTAATTTTTTGGAGAGACAGGGGACTTGCTATTTTACTCAGGCTGGTCTTGAAGTCCTGGCCTCAAGCAAATCCTCCTGCCTCGGCCTCCCAAATTGCTGGGGTTACAGGCATGAGCCACCATACCTGGCCCTATTTAGTTCTTAATTTGATAATATCTTGGCCAGATAATCATCTAGCAGCAATTAGTGCTCACTGAAAATCCTCTCAGAATGTAAAAAAAAAAAGCACCAAAAATGAGTGCATTCTAATGTCTTTTAAATACAAGGAATCAAGGAAAAGGAGAAATACTGTCTGAGGCACAGTTTTTAAAGATACGAAAAGAATGTGGTCTGCAAAATAGAGGATTTGGTCAGAGAAATGGATCTTAGAGAATCTGCAGTAGCATGGGACAATTGAAATGAAGGTTCTAGAATCTCTGAAGATCTCATTAGATTTTCTTTAATTAATTTGTATGTTTAGCTGACATTAATTTTTATGACTCCCCTTCATATCTAAGCTTTTAAATATGATGGTAGCTATTTATACCACTAAAACAATGCTGCTGTAGAAGCAAAACAAGAGTGCTTTCTCATTTCAGATAAAAGTTACAGATATTAGAGTTGGGTTCAGATTAATTATTGTTGAAGAGTAGCAAAGCTAATTTGTGTTACTTGAAGAGCTCCTTTTATTAGATTAGTTTTTGAAATGTTTCTATTGTAAAATTTAGAATAACAAGTGTAAATATATTTGTATGTAAATATAGGTATATATTTACATATGCATATAATATTTAAATATATGAACACAAATATGTATATCAAACTTCTAGTGACTACCTTGCAATTATCTTAGGCTATCTTAAAATAATGAGATTGCACATGCAAAGAACCAATTTCTTTCTTTACATGTTCCAGTTTCTCTATTCGCCAACTTTCAATTAATTAGAAAAACTAAGAGACAAAATGTAGTCAATTTGAATATCAAGACTATGTCAGCTGTTGCTATATAGTTTCACCTTGGGTTTATGAAGAAATCTTATAAACAGCCTTTTAGAACCTAATCATTTTTAAACTGGGGAGCTTCTCTATATAAAAAATGATGGAATTATGGCTGATTTCTGTTTTATTTTGAGCTTTTACAATATTTCCTTTACAAATCACTACTTACATAATTAAAACTCAGCTAGGATATTTGCATGTTGTTCAGATTAAGGGTTGAAATAAACTTCTAAATTCATTTACTTATGTCCATATGATCTAATAAATATCAATTTGCCTATTAATTAATTTTGCCAGCAAGTATTTTCATTTTTAATTTATATTTTTAATTATTTCAGTGCACAGATTTGAACCCTTTATCACAAAAGTTTATTCGAAGATTAGCCTTAAGAATTAAACAGTACACAGTTATAATTTTTCAGTTTGCTAATTGCCTTAATATTTTCTGTTTCTCCTCAATATGAGTGATAAATATTTATTAAATTACTAATTAAACTTAAGACATGTTAGCATAGGAAAATCTATTCAATTATGGAGAAATAAAATAAAACTAAATATTATTGTGGTATTACTGACCCTCTTTCTACTTTCCTTATGTATTAGTCTGTTCTTAAGCTGCTATGAAGAACTGCCTGGGACTGGGTAACTTCTAACAGAAAGGGGTTTGATTGACTCACAGTTCTGCAGGGCTGAGGAAGCATCAGGAAACTTACAATCATGGCAGAAGGGGAAACAAACGCATCCTTCTTCACATGGTGGCAGAAAGGAGAAGTTCTGAGCAAAAGGGGAAGAACCCCTTAAAATACCATAAAATCTCGTGAGAACTCAGTATCATGAGGACAGTATGGAAGTAACTGCCCCTGGGATTCAGTTACCTCCCATTGGGCCCCACTCATGACACGTGGGGATTATGGGGACTACAATTCAAGATGAGATTTGGATGGAGACACAGCCAAACAGTATCACCTTATAATATAAAAAGTCTCTCCTTATATATGTTGAAATTGTGACTCTTTCTGCCTTATTTCTCCAATTGGGGTCCATAACCCCTATGTAATTCAAATGAATGAAAAGTAGGAAAATTGAATTTTTCCAAAGCATAGTGATGTGAGGGTAGATTTCAAAGCACTCTGTCAGAGGAGTCAGTATCATAGTTGTCAGGCGTAGCAGCTTAGTTTTATCAAAGCAACACTTGCCATATGCCTTAATATGTAAATTCGAATTTTATTCTTCTTAATTTTTTGCTATTATATAAAATTTGATGTACTTTTGTTATTTCATGAAAACTATTTGCAGGAAGAGTTTATACTTGGTTGTGTTTATAGATACTCATTAGAAGCACTAATTTGATTCACAGAGGTCAAATAATTTATGTAGCAATCCAATAACATCTTTCTTCTATCTAAGAACATATGACTATTTCATTCTCTAATACTACTTAATTATGTTAGGACACACTGGTTTTTGCTATTTAATAAGTTTTTAATTAGTTCTATATAATTTATAAATAAGCATCATCATTACTCAGGTAGCAATGCATTAAGGAATTTCTATTGAAGTGATAGAGATATTTCTATTAAAAAATTTGAAAATAGAATTTAAAAATAAAGTACTTGATCTTAATGATTTACAAAGTAAAAAAAATAATCATTTTTGAAATGCCAAATGAATATATTATACCTGGAAAAATTTCTTAGAACATGTATAAATTATGTAAGGCTATTTCTAGCCTCTGTAAAAACTGCAGCCATAGTGTACCACGGATGATATCCTACTTAACAGACTCCTGGTCACATATTTATCAAATTCCTGGCAACCAGCTTATTAATATACTGGAAGATGTCACTGATCAAACTGCCTAATTACCAACAAGTAATAAAATAGAATAAGGCTCTTTCATAGCTTTTCTATAAGCATCAGTGTCATCATATGATAGATGGACTACATGGAAAGAAATACATCATACAATCACTTAGACATTCATTTCATATCCATGGCAGATTTAAGCCACTAGCCAGAAACTGTTTTAACTTTGACCACAGTGGCAAAGAAGATGGTGAGTTTCTACTCTCACTCCTAACAAAAGGAGAGTCATTTTTAAAGTAGAAAATAAAATTAATAAAATAAAAACAAGTTGCTGTTTTGACTTCATAGTCTAAACTTATGATTCAAACACCAGTTTACATTATTATATTTAAATTTAAATTGTTATAGTGGATATTTGGTGATAGGATGTTACAAGTTCTACAAAGTATTATAGTGATTTTTTTAAATCTAAAGTTAATATATTTAAAAACAGTGGAAGCCATATTTTATTTTATGCCTTTTGGTTTATTTTTGTTTCACAGACAGGATCTTGCTCTGACACCAGGCTGAAATGCAGTGTCATGATCATAGCTCACTGCAGCTTTGAACTTCTGGGCCTAAGTGATCCTCTTGCCTCAGCCTCCCCTAGTAGCTGAGACCACAGGCAAACTTTACCATGCCTGATTAAGCAATATTTTATACATTTAGCCAAATGTGGACATTTTAAGTGTCCTAAGAACTAAAGAAGGAAGCTGGTTATTAATAGCCTCCCTCAGTTATTACACTACAATTTGAAAAGGTATTGAAGTTATTTGAGTCTCAGTGTATTCATCTACAAAGTTGTAATGCTAATCTTCATGACTTCTAAGCTTCTATAATTAGTCTATTTTTAATATTAATGAATTCATTTATTCAAATTAATTACATAAATAATTAAAACTAATAGAAAATAGAAAAATCAAATAATTTTAAAATTGAAAGATAGAATAATTATATTTAAATCTTATTTTAGTGAAAATATAAAATATTAAGAAATAAGTGGAACAATCAACAATCTAAACCAAAATGTTAGAATAAAAAGGAGAAGTGACAATATAAAAGTTAATCTTTAAAATTTAATAAATATATCTCTATGTGAAAAATGTTTAGTTGTGCTAGAAGTAAGAATTTAAAGAAAGACAGGAACTTTCATAATTGCCTCATGGTGCAGGAGAAAAACTGAATAGATAGAAAAAAAGTGTCAGTAATGTCAGAGATCTGATATAGGTTAATATTTAAACAAAACTGAAATATTTGGCACCCTCAAGAAACAGATAATTATCATATTTAAACTCTTCCACTATAAGTAATTTCTCAACTCTATTAATATATTAAACAAAGTAAATCAAAAATCTCAAAATTACTTAGATGCTTCCTTATTCAGAGAAAACCTACATTCTGCCACTCCTGCAACACTGGGGTCATGTTCCTGATTTGGCCAAGGATATTTGAACAGAATTGCTGTCCATCGGTTCATGCTTGCCAAAGCTTCCTTGCACAATGACCCATGCTGTGCTATTCTCTTGTGGGTCAAACATGAAGGCCAAATTTTAAAGAGAAAAACATTGCAAAGTAGAAGCAGTTTGAGCCCATGAGTTTGGAGGAGCTGCTCAGTAGAGTTTTTGAAACAGGACCACCTGCATATTGACTTTGTTTAGCAAGACTAAGTCCTCAATATTCTTGAACTGTTTTTTTAAAGCAGCTAGTATGATTTAATATGATAATAAAAACATAGCCCAAAATTATGGTCAAGAAACATACCAACTTATAAAATCTATAGATGAATCTCAAGAATGATGATAGATACAAATTTTTCTAAATAAACTAACAGCAAATAAAATGCAGACTTTATGAAAATAATAATATACAATAAAAAGTAAGACATAGTTCTGGAATATTAGATAATTCTGTTGTAAAACCAGTTAATATAAGGAAAAGTGGTTGATTCAGAAAGAAACAATACAAATACCAATAAAGACATGAAAAAAATATTTTCGGTGACTTCTTACATATTACGAAAAAAAACCAAATAGGTCAGTTAAATGCCATTTAAAATTGGACGATAATAGTTTTGGGGATATTAGTGTTGGTATATTCTTGTCCATGATTGGTGGCTGTGAAAAAGTTCACAAGCTTTCAACAGGGAAGAATGCACCAAAAGTTGTAAAATATGCATTCTCTTCAATTCTGAAGTGCCATATGCAGAAAATAATCCTCAGACAATAAGGATTTCTGCACAGTATTGGTGAAGATGTTAATTGTAGCATTATGTAATGGAAAAAATATATATTCATTAAGGGTTGGTGAGCTAGATATTGCACCTATGCTCTAAAATATTTTGACATTTAAAAAATATTGTAGAAAATACTTGATGATATGGAAAACTATTTATAATAAAAATTTAATGGAAAAACCAAGCTATAATACAATGCTTGAGAATATGTTATTTCTTTGTGAGAATAAAATGAACTTATGCCAATTCAGAAAAACACTCTAGAAAAATACAAACAAACTACAGGGTTTGTTAGCTTATGCTATTTGTCATTTTTATTATGATTGATATTTGCAATGTACTTATAATTAATAACCTTTCCTTATATCACTCGAAATTTCTTACATTGCTGATGAAGATGAGATTCATAACAACTTAGACACCATTATAAATCTGAAATAGAAACAACTTGCTAGTGTTTTATTTAGGAATACTTCTCATAAGGGTCTTGAAACAATGGCAATGTTGAGAATGCTCAACATCTCCAACAGGCTAATATTTAACACTGTTGAGATCTGTGAATAGATTCTTGACATAAATGTCAACAAATGGCCAACAAACGTGAAAAAAATGCCCAACATCACTAATTGATGTCGTTTGGCTTTGTGTCCCCACCCAAATCTCATCTTGTAGCTCCCATAAATCCCACATGTTGTGGGAGGGACCCAGTGGGAGATGATTGAATCATGGGGGCAGGTTTTTCCTGATAGTTCTCGTGATAGTGAATGGGTTTTACAAGATCTGATGGTTTTAAAAGTCGGAGTTTCTCTGCACAAGCTTTCTCTTTGCCTGCTGCCATCCACATAAGATGTGACTTGCACCTCTTGGCCTTCTGCGATGATTGTGAGGCCTCCCCAGCCATGTGGAACTGTAACTTCAATAAAGCTCTTGATTTTGTAAAATGCCCAGTCTTGGGTATGTGTTTATCAGCAGCATGAAAACAGACTAGTGCACTAACGATAGGGAAATACAAATCAAAACCGCAATGCAATACCACCTTACTCCAGCAAGAATGGCCATAATAAAAAAAATTTAAAAAAAATAGATGATGACATGGAGACAGTGAAAAGGTAACACTTTTACACTGCTGGTGAGAATGTAAACTAGTACAACCACTATGGAAAACAGTTTGGAGATTCCTTAAAGAACTAAAAGTAGAGCTACCATTTGATCCAGGAATCTTACTACTAGGTATCTACCCAGAGGAAAAGAAGTCATTACACTCAAAAGATACTTGTACATGCATGTTTATAGCAGCACAATTCACAACTGCAAAAATGTGGAACCAACCCAAATGCCCATCAATCAACGAGTAGATAAAGAAACTGTGATATATATATATATATATATATATATATATATATATATATATATATATATATGAATGATGGAATACTACTCAGCCATAAAAAAGGAATGAGTTAATGGGATTTGCAGCAACCTGGATGGGATTGGATACTATTATTCTAAGTGAAGTAACTCAGGAATAGAAAAGCAAACATCGTTTGTTCTCACTCATAATTGGGAGCTAAGCTATGAGGATGCAAAGGCCTGCAAATGACACAGTGGACTTTGGGGACTCAGTGGGAAAAGGTGGGAAAGGGGTGAGGGATAAAATACTACAAATCAGGTTCAGTGTATTCTGTTCGGGTGATGGGTGCACCAAAATCTCACAAATTACCACTAAAGAACTTACTCACGTAACCCAATACCACTTGTTCCCCAAAAACCTATGGGGAAATAAAAGCCTAACATCATTCTTAAAACAAAAATGTTCTCTTTTACCTGTGAGTGTCCAGCTTCACCTAATTTTCTCTGACATTGAAGGCCTATTCATGTATTGCAATTTTGAAAGAACAGTATACTCAGAGGAAAGCAATTTCAAGGCAAAGTATATGGTGAGACAAAAAGGCATATAGAACTTAGACAGAAAGGTAATGACATTTGTTTTTCAAAAATCTTGGTGCCAGCAGCATAAAAAGCTGTGGAAAGATAATTTGTTTTTTGGTGGGCACCAAGAATGGTCATTCGGTTCATTCACAGTAATATATATAAATTGAATATTTACTCTTGAAGAATGCTACTTTTATCCTAATAATACCATTAAAATATGTCCTTATGGTACATTTTCAATATTTTATTCCTGGATACAACTTTACATCATAAAATATTACACAATATTAAAGTAATAAATGTTCACTTAAAATGGTGTATTCTATTCACTGAAAAGTAAAAACTAATTCGTATTTATGCGTAAAAATATAAATACAGAGAAGAAGTTGTGCCCTACAGCTATTAATGGAATGTGTAAAAATAACTAATGGTCTGTTAGAATAATGTTGGCAATGATTGTATTAAATGATCATCTGCAAAGCAGAACTGCATTCCACAGAGCTTGGACGTTCCTCAGACGTGCTTTGGATATCCTTTGTGTCTAGGGCTCTCTAAACTTTAAACCCATTTTAGCCAAAGAAGTCCTACAATTACAAATTGTAGAGAAAATCTGTTCTCTTTATTCAACCTCTAGTTTAAGATTTTCTTGGTAGGAAGAATTTCAAAGTCAAAAATGCTTGAAACAATTTACTGCTACATAATATTAAAAATCTGCTGCTACATAATACATTAACTTTCAACTAATGTGTTTAATAGGAAGATATGCATTGAGCCTAATTTTTATTGATTATGACTGTTTATTAAATAATCTCATTTATAGGAGATCTATATTTCAAAAAGGTTGTATTGTGGTTGATATGTCACATTAAAGCATTTGCTACATGTATTTCATATAAGTGTTGTGATCTCCTATTTCTTCAAACTCAAAGTAACATATAAGTAGCCATTCAAGCCTGTTTTGTCAAAATAAAACATATCTATGATACTGTTAGACAGTGTTAAATAAATTAATCCTGTTAGTGTTTTCAAAATTGCAAATATACTTCACTAGTATAAAGAATGCTTTTATGTTTGTGTCAGAGCTTTAAAATTACTACATTAAACCAATTAATCTAAAATAGTGTTGTTACTGGGATCTCAAAGACTAAACTTCCTTTTTTATTATCCATAAAAGAAGCCCGCCAGCAGTGTAAAAGTGTTCCTATTTCTCCACATCCTCTCCAGCACCTGTTGTTTCCTGACTTTTTAATGATCGCCATTCTAACTGGTGTGAGATGGTATCTCATTGTGGTTTTGATTTGCATTTCTCTGATGGCCAGTGATGATGAGCATTTTTTCATGTGTTTTTTGGCTGCATAAATGTCTTCTTTTGAGAAGTGTCCGTTCAATCCTTTGCCCACTTTTTGATGGGGCTGTTTTTTTCTTGTAAATTTGTTTGAGTTCATTGTAGATTCTGGATATTAGCCCTTTGTCACATGAGTAGGTTGCAAAAATTTTCTCCCATTTTGTAGGTTGCCTGTTCACTCTGATGGTAGTTTCTTTTGCTGTGCAGAAGCTCTTTAGTTTAATTAGATCCATTTGTCAGTTTTGGCTTTTGTTGCCATTGCTTTTGGTGTTTTAGACATCAAGTCCTTGCCCATGCCTATGTCCTGAATGGTATTGCCTATACACCATGGAATACTATGCAGACATAAAAAATGATGAGTTCATGTCCTTTGTAGGGACATGGATGAAGCTGGAAAACATCATTCTCAGCAAACTGTCTCAAGGACAAAAAACCAAACACCTCATGTTCTCACTCATAGGTGGGAATTGAACAATGAGAACACATGGACACAGGAAGGGGAACATCACACTCCGGGGGCTGTTGTGGGGTGGGGGGAGGGGGGAGGGATAGCATTAGGAGATATACCTAATGCTAAATGACGAGTTAATGGGTGCAGCACACCAACATGGCACATGTATACATATGTAACAAACCTGCACATTGTGCACATGTACACTAAAACTTAAAATATAATAATAATAAATTTAAAAAAAGAAGCCTGATCTTATCGTTATCTTTTTGATATGACTCACACACAACTTATAATATTTTTAATGTTTAATCCATATGGAATTATTTGGGTGTATGGCCTTAGATAGAAATCTATATTTATTATTTTTAATGGATTGCTAATTGTCCTATATATTAAAAATCCATTTTTTACACATTCAAATTACCGTTTTATCATATATGGACTCTAATGACTTAAAAATGCAACCAAGTATTGAAAAGAATGCGTTTCAGAAGCTTAGATGTTGATATTGATTGCCAATTTCCGTTCTGCATTAAATGCCAGATGGAGTCGTAAGCATTTAGCTAATCAGAAAATCTTGTCCAGATGAAGCCAACCAGGGGGAATATATAAAGAGAGAAGTGCAACCATGGAATACCAATGAGTGAGGATATTTAAGAGATTTGAGAGCAGGTGAAACAAAGAAAAAAAATGTCGAGTAGCAGCTCCCCATAGTCCAATAATAGTGTGCATTCTGGACAGCAAATAGACACGAGGCAATATGCTTTAAAAAGTCCAAGTTTGGTAAAAATTGTGTCCTTTTCTTTAGTGACAAACGATGTTGTAAGTAACCTTGGCTAGAGTAGTTTCAGAGGAGTTATGGACCAAAAACCCAAGACTCAAAATGCTGCTTTTGTAATATTGCAGAACACTGGCATCTAGAAACTGGGAATCTGATATTTTTTCCACAAGATTTATAAACAAATTAAGGGCTGGACTGACACTGAAGTTAATTGTCCACAAATAAACAAAAAAGAATGTAAAGCCACAAAAATCAAGGAAACAACTGTTTGTTTCTATTATACTTTAGAGAGGTTTTTGTGGTGGACAAGGGAAAATTCTGCATATTTCATGTTAGACACAATTCCTATTACTGTGGCTATTCATGTGAAAAATATTTGTAGCATACTTATTTCAAATGCTAACACTTTAGTTGTTTCTCCATGGGTAAAATGATTTTATTTTTTATTTTGGGGGCAAATTTCCATCTTTAAAGTTTGTTTGAATAGTAGGATCTATTTAGTTCCCAATTTCCAGGAGTGTGTGTGATTTGTTCCTATCATATATACATACACACACACATATATGTATATATACACACATATATGTGTATATACACATGTATATACATGTATACACACATATAAGTGTATATACACATATACATGTATACACATATGTATATATACACATATATACACGATATATACACATATATACACATGATATATACACATATATACACATGATATATACATGTATATACACATACACACGTATATGTATATATACACACATGTATACACATATACATGTATATATACACACATGTATACATATACGTGTGTATATATATACATATACGTATGTATATATCTACACATATACGTGTGTGTGTATATGTGTGTGTGTGTTTCATGCCTTCTTCTTGCCGTTGTAACAACTAAGTAAATGTCCAAACTTTTTCAGCATTCTTAGTCTCTGCGGAGTCTGTTGCAGACAAGATTTCTTCTTATGTTGTGTGCAGAGTTGAAAAGGAAAGTCCCAGTGGGATGTAACTTTTCTGGTCACCAGGACTTCTGTGACTGCTTTGATCTCCTCTCCTTCATGTCCCAGGGCTTAGTCATGAAACACAGTGATATGCCTATTTTGGTAGTGCACATTTCCCTTGTGCTTTGCATTTTAAAAAGTATTTCATCTTTGATCTTAGGTCTAAGATTTTCCCTATAATATATCATGCCTATATTCTGAATGCTTTTTATTACCATTGGGATTTCACTTTATTTCTGATTTCAGGTTGGACATAACTCAGGCAACACACAACTCCCTGTATCATCTCATTCAGTTGGCTCTTCTAAGTTTGACACAAAGCCATTCCTTTATTATCACTGTCTCCTTTATTTTTAAGGCAGCTCATCCTTCTATTTGAAAGAGGGCATAACGATCTTGGGTTAATCTCACTTAATTATTCAGTGATTGGTTTTAGTTATTTGTATATAAGAATTCCAACTGTTTTTCCAAGTTTTTTGACAACAACAAAACATTGGTTTAGTTAAATATCGTATTTGTTCTAATTTTTCTATCACTATATACTATCACTATACTATCACTATTTTCTTATCACTATATATATATATTTCTTTTTTCCTCCGAGTCTTCTATTTTTTGAGTTTAAAAAAAAAACAACAAATCATAATCAAAATAACTGACGAGAGGAAGACAAAGCCTGGAGATCAGACAGATACCAAGTGGCAACGGATGAGTCACAGGTCAGGCTTAGCTGGATTTGTGGAGCAAAGTGGTGGGAAGTCCCAAGGGCTTTGGGCTTTGGGCATGTAGGGTCTGCAGAAGGAGAGGGAGGTCACTTTAAAAAGTACATATATTGTACACATCTATATGAAGCGTCCTGTGTAGAGGGAGTGGGGCGAGGTCATGGGATCTGGCCCACTTCCTCCTTGGACCAGCCTCCCTGCTGGCTCACTGGTTTGCCCAGCATGGGGACCCCTGCAGCTCTCTATCTCCTTCTGTGGAGCAAGGAGAAGGTAGCAATTTAGTTCCAGCCCATGGTGGGCAGAGGTCAGAGGCATGGGGATGGCCACCGCTCTGCTAGGAAATCCCTGTGCCTTGTGCTGGTGCCTCTCACAGAAGCAAAAGAAATTTGAATTTATTGAAAAGCAAATGTAAATCCATTGATTTTGAAGAAAATTGAGGAATTTTCAAATTTTCTATTGAAGATTCTCTTCTATAGATCTTTGTTTTAAATATATATAGAGGAAGATATATTTATTTTCAAATATTTTAAATTGTATCCTTAATGATATTTTTGGTTTACACTTTCCCATCTATATTCTGAGTTGAGTATTGATTTCTCAGCCACACTTAAAGGTATATCTTTATTTGTCTGTAAATATTTTATGAATGAATAAAACATCACAACAATGTTCTTACACTTAATTTTGAAAATCATACTTTTTTGTTTCATAGCAATCAAATCGTACGAAAATTCTTTCAAAGGAAATCTCAGCATATATAAAGATCTACTGCTTTCTGGGAAAAATATAGTAAGTTTAAAGTTGTTGGTTTCATGTGATATTATTTCTTCTCTAGTACTTGTAAAATATTCTAGTCTTATTTAAAAACTTATGTTTGGAATTCATTGCCTTAAAATATAAGTTTTCAGATATTATGATTCACATTTAAAGGTCCATTAAAATAAGTTAAAAGCGAGAGCATTTCATTTGGTCCCTAGAGGAACAAATATCCTCAAAGTATTACTAAGCTCCTCTCGTGTGTTATCAGGAAAAGGAAAAGAATCAAATGAGACAAATTCTAGGATATGTTTATTTGAGATAGTGTAATGCCATTGTAAAGTGTATAATCTCTTCATTTCTCTTTCCTTCACAATATTAGTAAGTAATGTTTCATATTCAGAAATCATATCACTCCCTTCCTATCTAGTATTACATTAATAATGCATAGCTTAGTAACATTTTGAATCACACGTCGGAGTTCTTTAGATTGATCCAATGTTGATATAATAGCATAAATTTGAACTGCTAGGCCTGAAGACAGAGTCTCAATTTTTAAAAATGTGTTTCTATGTCTATATCCATAGCTTATGGAGCTTTGGCGGTGAAATTCCATTTATTCAGTAGGTGCTTACTGATTATGTACTATGTGTCAGAAATGTGAGATGTATCACATATTCATATCCAAGTAAGATTCACTTTTGCATCAAAGTTTCTTTCAGCTTTCTCCTAGGGACAGCCCAATGAATACTTACCATACAAGGTGAGAAGTGCTATGGTGGACCTTTACTTAGACGGTTATAAGAGGGAAAATAAAAGAAAGAACCTTCTAGGGCAATGTAACTACATCTATGAATCTGTGGAGGCATGAGAGGGACAGGGCACCCACATGCTGTGCACTGTTGGCTGTTGTGGGAAAAGAGCTCATTTCAAAAATGCTGGAGGTGAAGGGGAAGAGGTAGGTTGGGTTGGAACAATAATGAGTCATGTACATCACTTTCAGGTTAACAAGGCTTTTTGTTTTCCTCAATTTTTCAAAAGTATGTTAGAGTTCGTAACAATTTTATTTCTGATGTAAAAAATGTAAGTAAGATGCCTGGTCTTATTAATTCTTGTCAAGATGATCATAAGACTGATGGGAAATCTCAAGTGGTCTCTGTCTTTTATTTAATTTTCTTTATTTTGGAAAGAAAGATATACAAAAATCATAGCTGCTCTCTGTGGGAAAGTCATGGGAGTGTCATAAGGCTTCATGTTCTCTTCTTCTCCAAGGAACTGACCACATCTCTGATATCAATACTGAGTGTTATTCTCAGTTTCTGTATACCCCAGAAACACTTTATATGATCCGTGTGTAACATCTGGAACTCCGAGAATCTTTTTCCTTCTATGTCAACATATTGTACAATTTAAATCTCATAAAACTGAAATTAGGACAATAAGAACAAATATTATTTAAGAAATATTATTAATGGATTAGATTTATATGTTTGACATGGATCTACTTTCAATAGGAACAGGGATATAAAATCAAACTTTTCTTACTTAGAATGCCATATAGTTAATAATTTCTATAAAATAATGATTTTATGATGCCTAGTAAGGAGTTAAAGAAGATCATCGAATACAAACTGATTTTCTTATTATCATATGAAGGACTGATATTCACAGACTTCATATAGCATGAGTGGAAGAGGAACATGTCTAGACTGAAAAGGAAATTTTAAGCTTATTTCAAATGTAGCCCAGAGGTAGACCTTAATAAGAGCTGCCGACCATTGCACCTGGCAAACAGCAATTAGGAAGAAGACATTTTGCTTTTAGTAAAGATTTCTGGTCAGTTCTCAAACCTAAGCACCAAAAATATCTGTGTGTACCTGTTATTACAGCAGCCATATATTAGAGGAATATTTTTAGCTACTAATGGCACAATGTTAAGAGTGGGAGGTAAGCCTGCATGGCCAGTGATAACCTATACTCTACAGAGGCATTTAGAAAGATGCTCTTTGTTATGGTTTTGTGATTTCAAATGTACTAGTTATAATTACAGAGAAGACACTAACATTCTAAGGCATAGTGATCTTTACATGACAGAGGAAAAGCCAAAATTAAAATTAAATTCTACCTGCTTAAAGAAAAAAGGATGGAACCATGTTCTTTTTACATTCTACAACTGTAATTTAGCATGCCAGTTGCAATACACCCAGCAATGGATTTCTTATTCTCAGTTACCTTGTGAGTGTAATAGCAGAGTTAAGACCTACTCAAAATGTGTAACTGTAATGCCTGTCTTACAATACTTTGACTTCAATTCTACTAAAATAATAAGTACTCATTATAACTGGAATTCTGAACTGAGAAATGCTGAAAAATGCCTTGGGACCCAGAAAAATAGGAGAAAAATTGTGGACTGTTTCAGAAGAAACATTAGTCCCAGAAACTGGTGGGGAATCTCAATATTTTTTATTAGTATAATGGAGTACATAGAGAAAACAAAATAATGTTCGAAACCAGTGGGCACAGCCTCATATAATTATATAAGCCTGCATTGTAGAAATATTTAAACAGATTTTACCATTAATTTCTGAGAGTTTCCAAAACTGAATGAACCTAGTAGAATTATTCAGTAAGAATATATCCTGAGCTGCTATGTTTTATGCTAATGTTTGTAAGGCCCTGTATTATAAACCCTAAACATATGAATTACCTGAATCAATAAAAATAAATCCCATTTCCACTGTCGTCTTCCATCAGTGACAACAACATGAAAACAAATGTAGTTTTTATATCCACATTATTAGATTATTGCCTCCAAGGCCTACTCACCAGATATTAACTCCCTACACAAAGAGTCATTTCTCCAGTTATTTCTGGGACCTTCTTGAGGTACAGTGATCTGAATAGATTCCTTTATGCCAGCGCTATTTGCTGTTTGCCACCTCCTTGTGGCATGACTACTGGGCAGATCTGTCTGCTCATCAACACTGTGCTGCCACTTGTGCCTTAGGAGTCAAAGTTGATAACTGAGCTGCTGCTGTCATTGCTGCTGCCACTCTAGGAAAAGTAGAGACCGATCATGCTGCTGACTCTACCTAGTCTACCTCCACATCAATACAATCACAGCAACGCACCGTTTCTTCCACTACATCCACTCTAGGCACAACCCAGCTTTTCCTATCTCAGAGCCTTGAAAACCCCAGAGATCAATATGTATCCTCCTCTCTGTCATACCACTCTCATTTTAGCTAGTTCACGGGATGTTTGACCATGAAATCATTGATTCCTTAACAAGTAAAGAGAATACCTGCCCCATCCATTCATATTCAATCTCATCCTCTGGTTCAAAGGAGATTTTTTAAAAATAAGGTGAAACAAAATAAATAATGCAGCTGCTCTGAACATTAGCAAGGAAATGTTTTGTGTGTGCATATGTTTTCATTTCTCATGAGTAAATACTAGGTAGGTGACACAGTAATTTTATTCCTAGGTATTTACCCAAGAGAAATGAAAACATATGTCTGCAGACAGAGTTCTATATGAATGTTTATGGAAGTTTTATTTATAATAATCAAAAAACCTAGAAATAACACAAATATTCCTCAACAAGGAAATGAATTTTTTTAAAAAAGGATACATTCATACACTGGAAATCAACTCAGAGATAAAAACAAACTTCTAATATTGCAACAACGTGGGTGAATCTCACCATTGTTACATTGAGTGAAATAAGCTAGCTATAAATGAATCTGCACTGTATGGTTTCATTTATATAAAATTTTTGAACAGGCAAAACAAACTTAGGGTAATATAATCAGATCACTGATAGTCTTGGGTGAAGGTGAGGGTGAGGATGGCAAGTACAAAGATAGAAATATTCTATATTTTGATTTGAGTAGGGTCACAAACTTGTGAATTTTATTGTAGGTAAATTATTCCTGAATAAAGTTGATTTTCTAAAGACCTAGGATAATATACCTTTTCAAGGCCTGAGTCACTCAGTTCTTATCCTACTACTTCTATCTTTTATAGCACATTACTGCAAGCATTTTCTTATGCTAATTCTCAGTAGATTTTATGACTATTCCTTTACATCCAACTCTTATAAGTTAAACAGGACAAATATTAGTACCCCATTGTGCATGGTCTTGGCATATTTTCAAATGCTGATTATTTTGCCAAGACTTGTCTTCTCTTCTTAGGCTAAAACCATTTTACCAACTAATGCAATATATAACTCATCTAAATATACTGATGGAGAACAGAATTCAAAAACTTCTTTTTATGATAGTCAATAGGAAAAAAAGTACTTTGTATCTTTACCCTTTTCAGTGCATTTGTAATGATAATGTAGTTTTAACTTGTGTTGACTTCAAATGGTGATGTTCGGCTTCAGTTAAAAGGTGATATATCCCTAATTTATACAAATAGCATCTAACCTCTATATAACATAAGTTATGATATTCATTAACTATATCCCTTCATCATTGTCCCATATGGCCATTTCCCCACAGAGTAAACTTTTATAAAGCTATTTCCAAAAATACACTTTTCACATTTTTAAAAGCTTCACAGAATCATCTTGATATTTTTCACCTTATTTTTAACCTTAGTTCAATGCTACTACTATCGCATTGCAGAGTTTTCCACTAGGAATGAAACTAACTTTAAAATGATGTCCTTAAAATAACATGACAGAAGCATTATTTATTTTCTTTTTTTGGTGAAGAAAATATGCTGCAACAACTTTATAAACTTATTCAGCAAAACCAGCCAACAACCATTAACAACATATGCTATATAGTCAAGGGCAGTGCATTGGCTCGAATTCTAAGTTAATTGTGTACCACAGGCAAAAAAAATCCTGAAAAGTGTTGTCAAAAGTCTGTACTCCATAAAATTTGTATTTACCCTCATAAAATCTATCATAAACAAATTTCTAAATGTCATCAAAATTATTGTCTCTAGGTTTAGTCTCTTTAACAAATACTCAGAAATTATAAACGTCAAGGAAAAAATAACATTGATATTTCAGGTAATCTGCTAGCAAATATAAACATATGTGTACATTCACACATAGTCTCCTCCATTTTAATACAGTCAATCTTTTTTGGCTTACATATCTAAAATATTTCACCATGTTAACACTTAAAGTACCATGTGTATCCTTTGATGTACATCTTCCTGTATTCTATAATATGCGTGTAATTCGTACTCTTCTAAAACCGAACTTTGGTTGCAGATATTTTATAGAAAATAAACTAATGTGTATAAAATAATATTTTTTATTTTTATTTTTATTGGTGTTTGCATATATACATATACACAAAGATGTGCGTAGCTTAACTGTGCAGTCTGGTTGTGTTGTAAACCACAAATATACCAAATAAAATTTATTTGTAAGAAATTAGTATCTGTAAACATGTAATGTGTCTTTTCCTATCTCTGCCCTTAAAGTTGAAAGAATTATTGCAATAGTTTATATTCAGTTTTCATTCTATATTTTTTCTAGTCAATGCACCTACAGGCAGATGTATTCTAAGGCACATGTTGATTTATTTTATGTTCTAGATATTTTGTACCATCTTTACTTCTTAGTTGAATTAATGCATAATAACATTTGTATGGACTTGAGTAATTTAGAGAGCTTAGATTCGTTGCTGTTGCTGATATTACAAACAGCCTGAGCTTGGAGTATGTAATACATGATATTATCAAATATTAATTGTGCTTCATTTTGATGTACTCAAATTATTTATTTAAAGAAAAAGGTATCTAGGTGTTATGTTAAGAACTTGTGATTATGAGGGAGAAGAGCTATGCTGTCCATGTGATATACGAGGAAACTATGTTCAAGTCCTAGTTTAACCATTTACTAACAAATTGAACTTAGTAAGTCAACCTGCTTTAGTTTCCTCATCTTAAAAAGCAGGAAGAAGAACAGAAACCTAAAGTTAAAAAGCAAGATGGTAGAAACATGTAAGCATTCCTCTTCCTCCCTCTAGGTTTATCTTGATAGCTTGATACACTTGAAATTTCATTCTTTATTAGTGTAAAAATGTTAGTGAATTTTGAAATGGCTGATACAGCAGTTTTGACTTTCAACATAAAAATTTGTGAGAAGTCTGGTCCCTTGCTACATTTTATATATATAGAAAATATATGCAATTTAAATTTTTTTTTTTTTGAGACGGAGTCTCACACTGTCACCCAGGCTGGAATCTCAGCTCACTGCAAGCTCCTCCTCCTGGGTTCATGCCATTCTCCTGCCTCAGCCTCCCTAGTAGCTGGGACTACAGGCGCCCACCACCACACCTGGCTAATTTTTTGTATTTTTAGTAGAGACAGGGTTTCACCGTGTTAGCCAGGATGGTCTCCATCTCCTGACCTTGTGATCCGCCTGCCTTGGCCTCCCAAAGTGCTGGGATTACAGGCATGAGCCACCGCACCCAACTGCAATTTAATTTTTATGAGATTAATGAAGTAGGAATAAAAACCCAGACTAAACTGAAACTTCTCAATTAATTCTGTGCTGCATTTACTTTGAAAAAAAAAATTGGGTGTGATCCATTTGCAACATGGAGGCTATAGTTAATAACAATTTATTGTATACTTGAAAATTGCTAAGAAAGTAGATTTTGAATGTTTTCACTACAAATAAAATAAGTATGGAAAGTCATGCATATGTTAATTTGCTTGATTTAACCATTCTACAAAGTATACATATATCCAAACATGTTGTATATCATAAATGTATATAATTTTTGTCATTTGAAATAAATAAGAGAAAATGAGATTTTAAAAAATATAGGTGTAACTCGTACTCTTCTAAAACCAAACTTTGGTCTCAGACATTTTATAGGAAATAAACTAATGTGTATAAAATAATATTTTTGATTTTTATTTTAATTGAGATTTGCATATATACATATATACATATGCACAAAGATGTGTCTAGCTTAACTGTGCAGTCTGGTGAATTTTCATAAACAGAATATACCTGTATAATTAACACCCTGCTCAAGAGACACTATTACTAGAAATCCAGAGGGCTCCTTCATGCACTCTTGTTTTTGGCCACTGCTTACAATACAAGTGGAACCACTATCTTCTAAAATCATATATTAGTTTTGCATATTTTCTACCCTACTTAAATTAAATTCTACAATTATTTCATTGTATAAATCTGTAAAATTTTCTTTATTCATTCACCTACTGATAAATGTTTAGGTGGTTATAGTTTTTGGCCATTACAAATAATGCTGAAGTGGTCATTTTGGTAATGTCTTTTGGGCAATAAAAGTATACATTCTATTGTGTACATACCTAGAAGTGTTGGGACATAGGGGATGTGTATACTCAGTTTTCATAGACACAGTTCATGTGATTTTTTTTCTAAATAACCCTACCATATTTTGCTCCCACCAAGAACATTCTCCATCAGAGAATTCCAGTTACTTCACATCCTTGTTAATACTTGGTATTATGAGGCTTTTTAAATTCTAGCATTTCCAGCGATTATGTTCCTTACTAGTCATCATGAAATCTATATTTAGTACAAATTATCGACTACTTGGCATTCTAAGTAAAGAATTGTATTACTTTATATAGTTTTGTATCCCCATTTGTATTGAAAGTAGATCCATTTCAAACCTATGAATCTGATCCATTAATGTTTTTCAGATGACATTTGTTCCTTAATGTCCTAATTTCAGTGTTAGGAGGAGATTTAAATTTTATAATAATATGTTGAAATTGAAGAGGAAAAAGTCTCAAGAGTTCCAGATGTTACACGTGGATCATATAAAATGTTTCCTGAATATATGGAAACTGAGAACAACACTCAGTATTGATGTCAGAGATGTGGTCAGATCCTTGGAGAAGAAGAGAACATGAGGCCTTATGACAGTCCCATGATTTTCCCATAGAAAGCAGCTATGATTTTTGCATATCTTTCTTTCCAAAATAGAGGAAATTAAATAAAAGGGACCACTTGAGATTTACCATCAGTCTTATGATTACCTTGACAAGAATTAATAAGGCCAGGCATCTTACTGACAATAAATTCTTTCACATCAGAAATAAAATTGTTATGAACTCTAATATATTAAGGAACACAAAAAGCTTTGTTAACCTTAAAGCAATGTGCAAGACTCATTGTCGTTCCACCCCAAAGACCTCTTCCCCTTCATCTCCAGCATCACTGAAATGAGCTCTTTTGCTGTCACAGAAAACAGTGCACAGCATGTAGGTGCCCTGTTCCTCTCATGCCTCCGCAGATTCACAGATGCAGTTAATCCAAATAATCCAGCACATTTTACTGAAAGGAGTCTCTTTACTGTGTCAAATATATACTGTCACTTTATCTTAAATCAGGTAACTACATGTGTGGGTCTTTTTCTGGATTCCCTATTCTGTTCTTTGAGGTATTCTGTCTATAATAGGACTGATACTATACCATTTTAATTATCCAGTAGCTTTTATGTTTTTCTTTTTCAAGATTGCTTTGGCTATTCTTGGTTTTGTGCATTTCTGTACAAATTTTAGAATCACCTTGTCAATTTCAGGAAAAAACTATTATTTGAATAACTGTATACAATTTATTATTATTAATATTACTATTATTATTATTATTATTTTGAGCTGGAGTCTCATTCTGTCACACAGGCTGGAGTGCAGTGGTGCCATCTCAGCACACTGCAACCACTGCCTTCTCAAGCAATTCTGAAGCCTTCCAAGTAGCTTGGATTACAGGGGTGTGCCACCATACCTGGATAATTTTTGTATTTTTATTAGATATGGGTTTTCGCCATGTTGGCCAGGGTGGTCTCAAACTCCTGACCTCAAGTGATCCACTGGTCTCAGCCTCCCAAAGTGCTGGGATTACAGGTGTGAGCCACTGCTCCTGGCCTATATACAATTATTAATATACACACATATATACATTTATAAATTTTTGGAGAATTGACATTCTTGTAAACTTACTCTTGTAATTCATAATTATGATGTATTCTTTCATGTATTTTGAACTTTCTATTAATAGTATTTTGTTTTTAGTGAAAAGATGTACATGTTTTGGTTTTTATGCATTTGCTGTAAAAGATATATATTTTTATGGAAGGAATTGAGGGATACATTAAAACTGAACATTAGTTTGTCACTCATACATAGCAGTCAGTAGAAATTATTATAGAATTTATAGCCAACATAAAGTGCTTTGAAAGATATGCATATGCATACAGGCATGTGTGTGTGTGTGTGTGTGTGTGTGTGTGTGTGTGTGTGTGTATGTGTGTACCTAGCCAGGGCTATAATAGATTAGAAGTGTATAAGAAAGAATTTGAATGATATAGGTTTCTGAGCATGAATATAAAGAGGGTAAAGAACTTTTATAAAACAAGATTAATTTATCTTCTTTAAGGTTTTTTAATTCAACATTTTTCTTTTGGGTGTTTAAAAACAAAAACTCTTTTGGAAGTAATTTCTGAAGACCGTTTAGTAAAACAATATGTCTGAGGTAGTAAAATGCAAAGGTCTTCGAGTAACTTCACTGGCAATATTTAACTGAATTGTGACTCTCAATGTTCAGTAAGTAGAATTCCTATTTCTTTTTTTTTTGAATACTTTAAGTTCTAGGGTACATGTACACAATGTGTAGGTTTGTTACATAGGTATACATGTGCCATGTTGGTTTGGTGCACCCATTAACTCATCATTTACATTAGTATTTCTTATAACACTATACCTCCCCCAGACCCCCACCCCCAGTAGGCCCCAGTGTGTGATGTTCCCCTCCCTGTGTCCATGTGTTCTCATTGTTCAACTCCCACTTATGAGTGAGAACACATGGTGCTTAGTTTTGTGTCCTCGTGATATTTTGCTGAGAATGATGGTTTCAGGCTTCATCCATGTCCCTGCAAAGGACATTAACTCATCCTTTTTTATGGCTGCATAGTATTCCATGGTGTATAATGTGCCACATTTTCTTTATCCAGCCTATTATTGTTGGACATTTGGGTTGGTTCCAAGTCCTTGCTATTGTGAATAGTGCTGCAATAAACATACGTGTGCATGTGACTCTATAGTACCATGATTTATAATCCTTTGGGTATATACCCAGTAATAGGATGGCTAGGTCAAATGGTATTTCTAGTTCTAGATCCTTGAGGAATCGCCACGCTGTCTTCCACAATAGTTGAACTAATTTACACTCCCACCAACAGTGTAAAAGTGTTCCTATTTCTCCACATCCTCTCCAGCATCTGTTGTTTCCTGACTTTTTAATGATTGCCATTCTAACTGGCGTGAGATGGTATCTCATTGTGGGTTTGATTTGCATTTCTCTGATGACCAGTGATGATGAGCATTTTTTCATATGTCTGTTGGCTGCATAAATGTCTTCTTTTGAGAAGTGTCTGTTCATATCCTTTGCCCTCTTTTTGATGGGGTTGATTTTTTTTCTTGTAAATTTGTTTAAGTTCTTTGTAGACTCTGGATATTAGCCCTTTGTCAGATGGATAGATTGCAAAGATTTTCTCCCATTCTGTAGGTTGCCTGTTCACTCTGATGGTAGTTTCTTTTGCTGTGCAGAAGCTCTTTAGTTTAATTAGATCCCACTTGTCTATTTTGTCTTTTGTTGCCATAGCTTTTGGTGTTTTAGTCATGAAGTGTTTGCCCATGCCTATGTCCTGTTTCTATTATTAAATTAATTTTAGCCTAACTTTGCTTCCTTACATATTTTAAGTTCAGCCTAAAGGTTTCTCTGTGCATAGTGATCTGTAATCTAACTTGATGTGTAAACAGACTGTAAACTACTCTTGCACCAATCACCAAGCCTTAGGCAGTCACAAGCGGCCAACTGTTCAAACTGTGATCAAAGAAGTTAAACACTGAGCTATAACCAATCCAGCTGTTTCTGTATGTCACTTCAGTTTTCTGAACCTCACTTTCCTTTTTCTGTCCATAAACCCTCTCTGACCATGCAGCAGTGACAGAGTTGCTCTGAACCTATTCTGGTTGAGGAGGGGGCTGTACCATTCACGAATTGTTCTTTGCTCAATTAAACTCCATTAAATTTGTCTCCCAAAAGACAACCAGAATGGCTAGATAGTAGAAAGGAGAACTTTATTAGTGGTATCAGTTTGCAAGCTGGGAAGCCTAGTCTCCAGTCAAAGTTGTGCCAAAGAGGTTCTCTTCAAAGAGGGGAAGATGGGTTGTGTTTTATGCCTCACAGGGTCCATATTATACAATAAATTGTACATATTCAGCAGGTTTGGGGGGAAAACCATATGTATTCACAAAGGGAGCTGGGCATGTGCACAGTGGGTAATATATGTAACATACATCCCATGTTCACTTTGAGAACGGGTTTTAGCATTAAAATGTGGTGGAATTTAGCATTTTTAGTCAAAAGGTTAACTATAGGACACAAAGTTTGTGCACAGCCTCTGTAAGCTGGCTGTAACTGGCTTAAAGTCTATAGTAGCTCATTAGAAAAGAATGTAAAGCCAGTCCTCTGTCCAATCAGGGTTGTAATACTTGGGTTGTAAATCAGAGTTCTGGTAATTTATCTGATAATTTCTTCTGTTATGGAGTTTAACGAAAGTGTGGTTTTTCTGGAATTTAAATATTTTTCATGTTAGCCAGGTCCTGAATCATCAACCTGTAGGAAACTTTGTTTCCTTAACCTTAGGAGCCGTCTTAATTAATGAAAGGGGTATTTACCTTGGTCTCTCTCAGATCATAAATTTAACTTAAGTTTTCCTTTTAATACTATAAAAAACATTTCTACTCTGAATTCTTTCTCTTATTAAAAATGGAAGGAATATATGGAATTCCATTATTATAAGTTGTTCTAAAAGTGAATATTTCCAATGTAATAAGAGTAAAAGAAAAGAAAGCAATAAAGAAAACATCTAGTAAAATCAGATTTCATAAAGATGGCTGATGGCTATCATTTAAGAACCAGAAAAATGTGGCAAAATTTAAGTTTGGGGCTGGAGTAGCAGAAGAAGATTGTGGCTTATAATTAAATTCTAACAATTTATTTTTGTTTAAGTCAAATTTATAAATTAACCCACATCAGAAAAAATACAAAAAGGATCAAAGCACTTGAAAATAATTTTAAATGTTGAATAGATTTGTGAAGCAATGTTATAAATCTTTTCAATATGAAATCAAAAAATTATGTATGACCACTTAAGGCAGGAAAGTCCTCAGATGACTAAGAAATAAACCAAAGATGTCTGGGAGTCAACAAACTGGAATGAAATAAGAATATAATTAAAGTAAGATATTATGATCTGTTTATAGTTTTTTAAACCCCCAAATTGGGTGTACATTAAGCAATTGAAATAATCAGGGTTGCATATTTTCTGAAAATAAGGTAATATATAGAAGCCTAAGAAACCTAAAAAAAAAAGAAATTTTAATAAGACTATAAAAATAATAAAGTATCACCATAATGTATTTCAATATTATCTTTTTTAATATTATCTTTTAATATTATCTTTTTCAATATTATCTTTTTTGTCTCACACTATATTGTATTATTGGTGATTATTTGAAGAGGTATTGTGATTTATCAATTGTGATCAGTCAATTTTAATATAAAAATTAAACTTTTTTACTTTTCAAATGCTGAAAAATAATTCAATAAACAAAATGCAGGCTAAAAATAGCAAACAGATGCAAAATTAACTGGGATAGCTTTGTTCCCTGAGGATACTTAATGAATGATATTTTCCTTAATCTCTGTGCATGCCCAGTAGGCATAGGGTTTACAGAGATTTAACCCAAATATTTTCTTGTAAAATAAGACTTGCATATATTTTGGTTTTGAGAAATATGTAACATAACATCAGCCACATCCTGAAACCAAAACATATTTGTGCCAACAAAAAGACTCTTAATGAAGTTACCTAAACTGATAACATCTATGCTTCCGAAATAATGAGGTATTTGCTCATAAGAACTTCTCATTTTTTTTTCAGTGTGTTTATTTCTATTAGCTAACATATCTTTTGCAATGATCTTATGTGAAAAGCAATTAGAATAGTGGGGGAAATATCAAACATATACACTTTCCCAGTTTATGACCATGTATCATTGAGAAGTGCTAGTACATGCTTTCAGTGCATTTTTTAAAATGTGAATTTGACAAATATTCTTTTCAGAACTTGGAAAAATAGGAAATAATTCAGAAATAGTTTAAAGAAATTACCAGAAAAGCATAAAGGAATCTGACTGTGTGCAGGCATTAACATTTAACCCTGTTTATTGTTTTGAATAATATTATACAAGTTCATTTGTTTCTTTTTGTACCTCATTTTAGATATCCTTCTTTCCACCCTCACGCCATCGCATAAGATAACCCTCAAGGTACAGAGACAGTTACTGTAACCATTTGCTTTTTATTCTCCCATCTCACTCCCTCAGCTAAATGAGCTTAATCTTCTCCATTTGGGTAGCACTTCAGAAAAGCTGATTTTGGACAGGAAAAAACTCAGGAGAACTACTTCTCTGAGTCACGGAATCAGTAGCGAGTTGATTCTAATGCCATATGCCTGCATCCTGACTTTACTTAACCTACACCTTCACCTAGGTTCTTTACTGACTTTTTTTTTTTAACCAGAATTTTTCTCTGTGTACCAGTATCATGGTATCCATATTATGATCTGTACCACTGACCACTATTTTGGCTACATCTCAGACCTGCTCTTTGCTTGGCCAGTTGTATAAAGTTAGCCTGTGTATCCACCTTTTGCCTCTTTATGTTGCCCACTTTCCTGCCTCTTTTATCTTAAGAAGCTACTGACCAGTTCTATGTTGCTGAACTTGTGATTTGGTTTCCTCTTCTGCCCTGAAAATACCTATCAGCCCTGTCCTCATGCTTCTCAAGTCTCAGCTTGACATAATCTGTAGGTTGTTTTAGTGTATAGTGCTTAGGTTGCTGGGTGAGTTGGTGATAGGAACTGAATTGTATCTCTCTCCAAATTCATATGCGGAAGCCCTAACCCCCAATGTGACTGTCCTTGAAGAAAGGGCCAGGTTAAGTGAGGTCATAAGGATGGAACCGTAATTCAATAGCACTGAGGGATGTGCTTGCAAGAAAAGGAAGAGACATCACGGATGCACAAGCACAAAGAAAAGGCCATGTGAGGACACAGTGAGAAGGCAGCCATCTGCAAGCCAAAGAGAGAAGCCTCAGAGAAAACAAACCTGTCAGCACCTTGATCTGGAAACTCCAGCCTCCAGAGCTGTGAAGAAATAAATTTCTGTTGTTCAAGCCACTCCATCTGTGATTTTTATATGGCAGCCCTGGCAGACTGATACAGTTGCAATGAAGAATAATTGGGGATGTTTACATCTACCCAAGAAGAATAATTCGATTTATACTGGATTACCTATATATTGAGTTTCCTAAGTTACATGCAGTCAAACTTCCGAACTTTGTTGTTTAGCTTTTGTTTGTCTGTGTGCACTTAGTTATGCAATGCTAAATAATGATGATATGTCATCTTAGAGATATAGCTTTAGTGTACTTGTTCTCTGAAGTGGATATTTATGTCTGATATAATATCACAGAACCATCTGAAGAAATGGGTCCTGAGAGACAGCCAATAAAATATATATATTGCTGAAACCATTAGAAGTTACTCTTCACACTAAATTATCTAATGTATTTATCATGTAAGTTATTTAAGTCTTACTCTTTAAAGATATATATTTGTTTCAATCCTTATTAATCACACTTATTTAGGATATTTTGGAAAGAAACCACATTACTGTCCTTTATTTGTGGAAGTGTATAATAGTTGTTATACCAGACTACATAATGTATTTTGAAGCAATTATTTCTAGATCTATGTTTATTTCTATCACTCTCTCTAGAAACAGGTATAAACAGTCTCTGAGTGCTTTGTTTCAAGAACTTTGATTATGTATCTTTGTTATATTGCTTAATACTCAAATTCCAAATGAGTACCAATTTTGGTGAGCCCTGTAGCATGGTGTTAGTAGAAAGAACCTGCATGTTGGGTCCAAATAATGATTTATTCCTTGATTTTTCTACTTAGTATCCTTCTAGCTTTGGGCAGCTTCATTAAAATCTCTGAGTCTCAGATTTCTCATCTGGAAAACAGGTTTAATAGCATTCCTTTGTGTCCTATAGTGAAAACTAAATGAGATAAGATACACTAAGTACACAGCACAATTTGCTGAAACATAGCATTCAAAAAAAAAATGCTAGCAGTTACTGAAAGCTACCTCTGAATATTTTCTGAAAGTAATCACTGCTCTGAATAGTATTCATTTCAAGTTCTTTCTGAATACATCAGGGAATTCAAAATCATGGATCTAGACTTATTCCAGATGGGGGAAAATGAACACATGCTTTTAAAAAATTCATTTGTGGTATGGTAATATATTTTTGCCTAAATTCTTAGTCAAAATTTCAGGTGAGTTTAACAGTTAAAAAAGTAAATGCCTATTTTAGATAATATAATTGAACATAATTCCTGTTGCTAAAAGTACACCAATATATTCCTTTTCATTTAGATATGAGTAAAAAGATCAAGAAGGCCTTGGGAGACAGCTCACCAAAATGTTCAGAATATTTATGTTTATCATTTTATTATTTCTGGTTATATTAAAAAGTTTATTAAGTTAGCACTATTTAAGTTTGTTAAGTCTAATATTGGACTTCTTTTTAGCTTAGTTTTAAATAAATAGATTTTATATTTATACAGCACTCCATTTCCTTTGCATTTGTCTAGTCACTCATTTGATTAAAAACATATAAATGTGTATTAGAAATAAAAAACCTCATATGGTTTGGCTGTGTCCCTACCCAAATCTCATCTTGAATTATAACTCCCACAATTCCCATGTGTCAAGGGAGGAACCCAGGGGGAGGTGACTGAACTATGGGAGCAGGTCTTTCCTAGGCTGTTCTCATGATAGTGAATGAGTCTCATGAGATCTGATGGTGTTAAAAACAGGAGTTTTTCTGCACGAGCTCTCCCTTTTGCCTGCTGGTATCCACATAAGTTGTGACTTGCTCTTCCTTGACTTTCACCTTCTGCTGTGATTGTGAGGCCTCCCCAGCCACGTGAAACTGTAAGTCCAATAAACCTCTTCCTTTTGTAAATTGCCCCATCTCTGGTATACCTTTATCAGTAGCGTGAAAACGGACTAATACAAGACCCCTTTCATGTGTTTTGAGAGTAAGTAATGAATACTAAAATTTAGAGAAAGCTGTGAGAGAAGTTTGACTTCCAAAAGTAAGAAAAATCCCATTCAGAATACAAAATGTATAAATATATTTAGGTTTATTGCTTTCAAATATGCCCTTTAAAATTGTGGTAGATACTGGGCTGTTCAGATTCTCCTTTATTCAGAAAATTTCTGCAGCCAAAGAAAGCTGTCTTATCCAAGGTGACATGCCTTCCCCATCCCCAGGACAGCCTGAATCCTAAGACTGCTTATATGAAGGTTTCAAAAGGCCTAGGCTCCCTTGGTTCAAAAATGACAAATCTGATGGGTGCTGCAGCTCAGGAACTCCAAGTAAGTGAGGGAAACCTCTGTTGCTACTACCTAGTCCCTCCCTCTCCCCTTTCTCACATGGGCATTTCCGCCTTGCCACCCTCACCCCAGAACACACTCTAATCAACTTTCTGGTTTCCAATTCCAGTTTCAGAATCTGCTTCCCTAAAGGGAACAATCAACGAAAATCCAGAAAGAAGTTATGACCAGTGATTCAGTTATAACTCACAAGCACTTATATCTTTCTCCAACCCATTGTATTCCAAAACTTTTATTTAAAGGGAGAGACATGGAATTGTGAGCTAGGAAAAATTATACCTATGGAAGATACAGGTTGCATCATAGAAATAATTGAGAGTAACCATGTAAAGCAATTAAGTTCCTGTGGAAAAACTGTATCTTAAAGCTCTACTATATCAAATAATTTTAAATGCTAGTAAGTACAGTCTATTAAATCAATTAAACTCTTTCATATTTATTTGAGTAAAACATATTATCTGAAGGCCTCCATTTCCCTGTTACCCTGTTACAGTTTCTAGAAATCACCACACAAGGTCAGTCTTTGTAATATGCTCTCTGACAGAGCAGAAAGAGTGGCCAAAATGCTTTCATTAGTTTATTGGCAGGGGGTGATCTGAATTAACAATCCAAGTACTAATACTGAGGACTTGCAAATATTGATTAGAATGAAAGCAATACATTAGGTGATTTAAAGTATGGATATGCTTTAGTAGTGGAAAAAGAATTGCATTTGGATCATGGGCAGCCAAATGGAAGAGGAAAAGAAAAAGAACGACAAGAATAATAAATAAAGAGAAGTTCCATGACATATCACTTAGATATGTTGTATTTCTAAAGAGATGTCAACCTGCATATTCATCTGAAGAAAAAAACAAAAGCCTACAATTTAAACAGAAAGAAAAGCAGCTCTTTGGCAAGAAAAACTTAGTGCTAAGCCTTTAACATGAAATCCAGATAGAGGATCAAATCTTCATGGCTAACCCCATAAAATCTAACAAAAAATGTGTTCCAGAGGGTTTGATCTAATAATTTGCAGCCTTTTAGGCACAGACGTTCCTATGATTTGAACACAACTTTAGGTTCTATATTTGGAAACCTATATTACTATGGTCTATAAACCAAGGATTCTAAAAAGAACAAGATGGAAATTATAGTTATAAACTATATAATTATAAAATAACCATTTAAACTGTGAGAAAAATATACTGTCCTTGTTAAAAAAAATAAAAAATAAAAAGCTTAGCAGAGTTAAAAGATCCTGTGGGGGCCGGGCGTGGTGGATCATGCCTGTAATCCTAGCACTTTGGGAGGCTGAGGTGGGCAAATCACGAGGTCAGGAGTTCGATACCAGCCTGGCCAACATGGTCTCTACTAAAAACACAAAAAATTAGCTGGATGCAGTGGTGGGTGCCTGTAATCCCAGCTACTTGGGAGGCTGAGGCAGGAGAATTGCTTGAACCCAGGAGGCAGAAGTTACAGTGAGCCAAGATCGTACCACTGCACTCCAGCCCAGGCGACCGAGTGAGACTCCACTCAAAAAAAAAAAAAAAAAAAAAGAAAAGAAAAGAAAAGAAAAAGAAAAAAGAAACAAGAAGTCCTGTAGGACATGTAGAACTGAATTAAATTTCCAACTGCTCTATCTATATGCTTTGTGATCGTGAAAGAGTCCATTAGCAGATCAGAAACACAACATTCCCATACAAAAAATAGGAGTGATAAAATACTATGTCATAGAACACTTGGAATAATTAAGATTTCATATGCAATATAATTAGCACAGATTTTGACATATAAAATGATGTACTAAGTAGTCCAATAATTATAATAATTTATTAGTAATTTTATCCTAACACTTAAGCTAAACACTTTTCCAATAATCCTAATTTGAACCTTCTATAACAGTAGGTAGAATTGAACTATTCTGATATTCTCTAGAACTCATTTTAAAAGACCACATTTGTATTTTGGCTTCTTAAAATCTGTTTGGAGCATTTTAAATTAAATTAAAATATACCGTGATTGAATCACAGTTGTACAAACTCTCATCAACACACACACACACACACATATACCATATATATTGTGCTTTTCATTTCAAAGCATGATAAATAAGAAATGGAGATCAATAAGTCCTTGTAAGCCTCCTGGGGATTTGTGTGATCTAGAAATGAGGATCTTGCTTAAAATCATCTTAGAGAGGGTCTTTTTAAAAGTCATTTTAAAGTCTGCTTTTTGTTTGTATATTTTTTACTTGGACTGATTTTTAAAACAATTCCAATTTATAAAACACATCAAGACACATGCTGAGAAACAAATTGGGTGAGTTGTGAGCCACGTCTGTGTAGCCACAAGGCCTGCTACACTGCACATCTCACCTCCTGCAGCCTTCACTTTATTAGTCTCTTGTACGTACCCATCTATTATCCAGCCCCATATTAAACACTGGCAGAAGTTAAAAGGAGTTTTAAAATATATTAACATACAATGCATTTTTTACAATGTGCCTGTAAACCATTCCATTAATCTCTGGAAAATTTAATAAAACCCTATGTAGTTTTAGAGCTGAAAATTTCTCTCCCATCATGTTAAAAGTATATATTTTTAAACAAGTGTTCCTTTACAATATAAATATTGCATAGATGATTAACTGTGCACTCTCTCTTTAGAAAATAAATCAAAATGCTAAAATCTACCAGTTATCTCAGATCAATGTTCAGATGTTCAGATGCTCTGGCGTAAAAGAAGTAATTTATGAGACTGACCCACCCACTGTCAAGGAAAAATGAGTTTGAGTGGAATGCCTCATGGAGGAACTTTGCTCAGCTAAAAATGTATGTGAAAACACTGAGCATAAAATGAAGTCAAGAAGAAGGAAAAGAATCCAGATGGAGATGACTATTTAAAAAATTAGACCAGAAAAAAAAACAGTCAAATATTTAGGATAATGAATTAATACAATGTACTTTTGGATTATTGATACGTTTATTTTCTTAATTGTGCCAGTGGTTCACAGTTTTGTATAAATATGTCAAAACTTTCAGATGGTATAATTTAAATTTGTACAATTTACTGTATGTCAGTGATACCTCAAGAAAACTATATAAACACAAACTAAAAGAAAATACAAAAGACAATAAAACAAAACAAAAATAACAAATAAAACATCCCAAATGCTTAGAAATTAAATTCTTAATAATACTTTAGTTATAGAAGAAATCATAATGGAAATTAGAAAATATTCTAAATAGTTATGAAAATATTATACGTAAAAATATGATATAAAACTAAAGCACTACTTTTAGGAAAATTTATAGAATTGAATAAATGTAAAAGAAAGGAAGCTAAAAAAATCAACAAAATCAACAAAACATAATTAATGTGGAAGTTAGAAACTATTAAAGAAGAATAAAAATCAAAGAAATAGAAAACATAAAATGAAGAACTCCCCATAAATTTTAAAGCTCAGACTTTGAAAATCTTAATAAAATCAAGTAATACCTTACAAAAAATGTATCAAGGAGAAAGAAGGCAAAACACAGTGTGATGGTTAATACTGAGTGTCAACTTGATCGAAGGATGCAAAGTATTGATTCTGGGTGTGTCTGTGAGGCTGTTGCCAAAGGAGATTAACATTTGAGTCAGTGGGCTGGGGAAGGCAGACCCACCCTTAATTTGGGTGGGCACCATCTAGTCAGCTGCCAGTGAATAGAAAGCAAGCAGAAAAACATGAAATGGCTAGACTGGCTTAGCCTCCCAGCCTGCATCTTTCTCCCATGCAGGATGCTTCCTGCCCTTGAACATCAGACTCCAGGCTCTTCAGCTTTGGGACTCAGACTGGCTTCCTTGCTCCTCAGCTTGCAGATGGCCTATTGTGGGACCTTGTGATCATGTGACTTAATACTACTTAATAAATTCCCAAATATACATATATATATATATATATATATATATATATATATATATATGAGTTTATTTTTACAAACTATGTAATATTTATAATAGAAGATATATATATATATATATATATATATATATATATATATATATATATCCTATTATTTCCATCCATCTGGAGAGCCCTGACTAATACACACAAATTGAAAATATCAGAAATTCTAGCAACCAATTGAAAAAAATATTGAATGATACTATTTATAAAAAGATAAAGACATAAATACCTAGAAATAAAAATAAAGTGGTATAAGAGCTCTAAAAACAAAACAAAAAACATATAAATCACTTTTGGGAGAAATTAAAAACTAATTAGGAATAAGCTATATGATTTTAAGAGTTAATATTAAAAATGTTGTTTTAAAACTGATACATAGATTTAGTGCAATTCAAAACAAATTTCCAGTAGTTTATTTTATGAAAATGAATACATGGATTGTCTAACTTACATGAAAATGCAAAAAAAAGAATAACAAAGACAATTATGATGCAGGAGAACTTAGAACACTAAGTATTTCATCTTCATGTAATTACAGTGTGAATGAACAGTGAGGTATGGGTACAGATAGAGATAAACTCATCAATAGAATAGAATATAAAGAGGGACACCCACACATATATAGTCAGTTGATTGTAACATAATACAAAAAATTAACAAAAGAAAAGGATAATTTGACAAATTGAACTTAAAGTTAATTAAAATTTTATATCTTAAAAGACATCATTAAGGGTTAGAAAAGGCAAAAAATCAAGAAAAGATTATAGTTAAATGTTTGTGTATACACACACACATATATGTATATATAACAAATATTAAAAATTTATAAAAGATGTCTCAGGTCAACAATATCAAGATAAATAACCTGATAAGAAGATAGGCTACAGACTTGGGCAGGTGCTTCAAATAAAAGCCATCCAAATAATGCATAAACATGTGAAAAGATGTTTAACCTCATTCATCATTGGGCAAACAAATGTTACAACAATGAAATCCCACTGTATACTTACTGGAATAACTAAAATATAATAAAATACTAATATTTCCAAGTGTTGGTGAGGATATGGAACTCTCATATATTGATGGCAGGAATGTGACTTGGAACAATCCCTTTAGACAATTATTTGGCAGTATTTACTGAAGCTAAACATACATATATTTTATAAAGTAGCAATTCTATAATATATTGTATTACCTAATAAGATGCTTGCATGTGTCCATCAAAGTACATGCAAAACTATATCATCATGATTTATAATAACTAAAATGTCCATCAATATTAAATATAGTGTGGCATATTCATATTATAGGATGCTTCATGTCAATAAAAATAAACTGAAATTATGTGTGACAACACTGATAAATCTCAGTAACATAATGATAAGCAAAAACGCTATATTCAAATGTTACATACAATAAGATTTTATGTATATGCATTTCAGAAGTAGGCAAAGATAATTAACGGTGTAGTTCAAAGGGGGTAACAGATGATGGTAGAGGTAATGACTATGAAACAAACTTACCATGTTATGTTTTCAATGAGTAATAGTATATACAAATGTCAGGAATGGAACATGCCTTTTCTCTCTTTACTTTCTAATTTATTTTAAAATCAAGTTTTCTAAACTAGAGATTTGCCTTTGCCTGGTGGTAACAAATGAAGAGTATTTAAGAAAGGTTCTGAAAGAAATATGATCAAATATGCAAGCCCCACTGATCCAAAGCTACCTTGTTGAAAAGACATCTCACAAATCTGAATCAATGCATATGGATTCAGAACAATACAAGTCAGATTCACTTAAATTGTCCATCTTTTATTCCCCTTTAAATCAAATATCAATAACCTTGGGGAGGTGATGCTGGCATTCAAATTAAATGACTTCTGGTTTTTCATGTTGTAGACCCGTTTATAATCTTCCCTCGTCTCAATTAGCCAAATAGGGAAGAAGAGATATTATTAATTATCTTATCGATCCACTTGTCACCTGAATAAAGTAGAAACATAGTGATTTGTTTTGCTTAATATGACCTCAGGAATCACAGCAAAAATAGTCAAGCTCCCAACTGTGCTCATTCTCTGCTACAAACTAAATTGTATACCCAGGCCTGTTACCTCTCCTTCCCCCTTATCTTTTATTATGTGTTACACAGGGTGTAATTTTGCTAAAACAAGCCCTTTAATTATACATTGCCAAAAGTGTCACCTACTGTTAAACGATTCCTGTGCTGCAGACAGAAGAAACCATGAACCCTGCAAGGTTCTGAAGTTTCCATTACGTGCACAGACCCCAAGAACAGCTGTTAACAAATCTGTTGGTGGTTTTGTGTAAAAAGCAGCCAGGCTGTGCTCCTGCTGTACTTTTGGTCAGAGAAAGCAATTTGCATTTTGACAGGCTTCGTGGGCAGAAGAAAAAACAGCACAGGTATAATAATAGCTCTAAATGAAAGATTTGGAGCAATGTTTTACTAATATTGAAAGTTTCCTTAAATAATGAGCAGCAATTAGAGAAAAATTATCTCAGGAGAACAGCAATATTAAGACTGTTTACTGATAACATAGACGAGAGTATTATTTTAAGGAACTTTAAGAAAAAGACGTGTGATTTAATATTTTATTAGACTGTTTAACATAAATTTTATCAAAATGAAACAGAAGATAAACTTAGGTAGTAATGTAGAGCAATTTTTCCTTTAAGAAAACTTAATAATTATTTCAGTTCTCCATTCTCTTACGTTATAAAATCTTTATCTATTTTGAACCTATTTTCCCACATACTTTTAAACTGTAATAACTTACATGTAAATATAGAGTATATGTATTGCTGCCAACCAAAATACTTAACTCTGTATTGCAATTGCTGCTCTGTTTTACGATTAGACCTTAAACATAGTGATCTAGAATTGAGCATGGGCCTTGCTGAATTTAAATACTAAGTCTAAATTTACTGTCTGCATTACCGTACTTAAATTATTTTACTTTAAGTTCCTCATTAAGTAATATAATACCTTCAAAAAATTTTACATTGAACACAGATCTCAAAATAAAATAATTTACATTTATAAAATGTTAATAAGAAAGTAATGCTTTATTACTGTGATAGAAGTTGATTGTATTTATCAATATTTGGTTTTTCTCTGCTTGCTGGACATACTTAAACACATTCTACAGACATTTTGCTTCTGAATGGGACCACAAGACACAATTCTGGCTAATGGAATGTGTGTTGCAGAATGGTGTGCCACTCCCAGAGCTGACCAAAAAAGCAGTCTTAAAAACACTCTCTTCTCTCCAAGGCCCTAGAAATAGCAGACACAATACAAGGTGGGGTCTCCCTAATCAGAGCTTGGAAAATAGTTGGGTACAAAGGCCACACAACAAGGATCAAATGTATTGGACTTCACATAAATGAGAAATAAAATTGCCCAGGAGATTTTGAGGATAACTTTTTTTAAGTTACCCTTTGCTAACTGACGTTATTATGTAGATATTTAAGCAGAATATGCATCTATTTCTAAGAAAATATTCACTCTATATTAACTTCCTTAACCCATCAGGATGTTTTTTGTTGTTGTTATTGTTTTGTAGAAAAGCCAGAGAATTTAAACGCTCATGTAATAAATATTCTAGATGAGAAACTTCAAAAACAAGTACTAAAAAATAGTACTTTAACAACCGAAGAAATGCATAATTATTTTAAGTCTCTAAAATCTTATCCTAACTATCTGTTACATAATATTAAATAAGCAGATGATTTTAAGGAGATAGTTTTATTCTATTTGCATGTTTGTTGAGAATCCATGCTATGCTGTGTTGGGGTCAGAAAACAAGACCCTAAAATGAAGGACTCAGAAGCAACCTCACAAGTAAACGTTTTTCTCTGACCTTCTCCTGTTCTGCTGCTTCTCAGTCCCATTCTCTCCAGAGGCTAGCTGTAGAAACTAGACTCCCTCTTCCCTAGGGCAGGCCATTGAAACCAGAACTGCTTTTCCCCAAAGACAACCATAAAACCTAAAAACATTACTCCAACTTTCCCTCCATCTTTCTGTGTAAAAAGTGGCCATAAAGAAATTATCCGACCTACCTTCTTTGGCTGTAAGTCATAACACCCCATTTCCAGAAAAAGTCCTGCCCCCACTCAGAAAGGAGAAAACATGCATAGAGAGGCCAAGAAGAATGTAAACAGACAGGCCTTGCTGGGCTTCTCCTCTGTCTATTAACATTAGATCATATGCTTTGTATACAATTATATATCTACACAGCTGTCCATACTTTGTTGAACCTAAGCAAATAAATAGACTATTTCCCCCTATATCTCTGTGTCTTCATTTTGAAAGCTCTCATGTATACATGTTAAATAAATTAGTATGCCTTTTCTCCAATTTATCTGTTTTCTGTGAGTTGATTTGTCAGCAAACCTGCAGAGGGCCAAGCAGAACTTTCCCCTTTCCCCTTACAGCTGTTATTGTTAGGTACAGAGAAAGATGTAAATCTTTCCTCTGTAAAAATAAAAACAAAAATGGCTTATAAGTAAGTGTACTACTGATAGGTATTTAATTATCAATAAATAGTGTGTTAACTCTATAATTCTTGAGTATATGGTATCTTTCAGACTAAAACTCAATCTCTTTGCTCGTAGTTTTATTATGATATTCTAATCTAGTTGTAATATGATATATTGGATTAATATAGCTAAGCATAATTATTTTATAAAAAGGTTTCAGATAAAGTAATACATACATATTTAAAATATTTTCTTGGAAAATGAACTACAAAGCAATATGCGAAAGTGGAAACAGCTTTCTTGGATAAAACTTTTAAAATAATACTTCTTAAGTATGATGTAACATTTTTTTCTAACATAGCTCTATGTTGACTAGACAATATATTTAGAAGATAAAAAGATAATGATTTATTTTAGTGACTCTCTGTCTGACTAACACATTTCTCATTTACACATTTTCCTTGAAGCTCTCAAAACAGCAGCAGCCGCTACAAGGCCCTGAGATTTCCAAGGCGTACATCTGCATGGCCACAGATTTCATCTCCCTCCCATCTAATTACTTTGTTTTCTTTTTGTCTTCTGCTAATCTCTGTCGATCTAACTTTCTAACATCTCACAGCTCAATACATTCTTTTTGCCTCCAACTTGGTCTTTTTACCTGTGAATCACTTCCCCACTGAAGGTCTAACATCTTAGTCCCACAATGAGTACAGTTTTTTAGAAATGATATTTCCAAATTGCCTGTGGCAAACTCAAAGCTTGGCATGTGATCCTTTTCAATGCTGCAGCTTTGAGAAATATATAAAGGATCTTAATAAGCTTTGCTTTTGTGTAAATTCAAGCTGTAGTATGGATAGGAAGTTCCCAGTTGGTTCAGAGACATCCTAACTGATATTGAAAATACAAACAGTTAAGCCAGCAGTATGAGGTAGGCCAAAGATCAAGACAGAACAGATGGGTCTAGCGAGAGTTTAGTTCAGACAGTTGAGGATCAAAATGGCATAAATCCATATGAAGTGCAGATCAATCAGGTAGACTGAATAAACAAAGAGGAAAAAAAATCCCCAAAAGTCAAGCCATTGAAGCTATCTTAATACATACTAAGCAAATATTTCTAAAATTTCATTTAATATAAAGAATCACATAGTAGCCTTTCCTTCTCTTCATTGCCAGACTTCTTCAAAGTTCTATAAAATAGTCTACCTTTATATTTTCAACTCTTATTTACTCACTTCATCATCTCTTTACAATCAAATTTCTGTCTCCACTGCCCTATAGAGATTTCTTCCTTTAGGGCCAAGAATAGACTTTTAATTGAGAGCTAATTGTTTCTATGCCTTCAACTTTGGCACTGCTTACTCACCCTTTTATTAATAAAATGCTTAGCAGTGAACTCTTAGCCTCAGTGGAATCATTTTTTTTCTGGTTTTGATTCTATGTTACAAACTTGTGCCTCCATTAGTTTTTAAATTACTTTTTCATTAGCTGAATCAGACTATATTTCAATGTGCTTGTAAAAACTGTTACCACCTCACCTCTTAAAACACTTGTTCTCACACCATATGCTTCGGATTTACAGTGCTTCTTCTATTTGCTTGTACATGACCTTGTTATGGGCCATCCTCTCTGTCTAAGGTGTCTTTTGTACTTTTTATCTGGTTAAATACTACTGGCCAAGACAGAATTAACATTTCTCTCATCTTGACTAAACTTTAGACGGGCATCCACCCCTCCCACATAGTCACCTGTAGAATTCAGGTGGCCTAACCACAGAGACCTTACCTCCCTTTTCTTAGCACATTTACTTTAGAACATTTGTAGCTGCAACTTTTTTCCTCTGCCCATTTGAGATGCAAATCCTTTAAAAAGCCTCCTTGCCAGTTGTACAACCCAGGACTATCTATCTCAACTACCTGAAGGCAATCCCCTTGAAATGTAATTATCAAAAATAAAAAATAATACCCCTTATCTCTCAGTCTCTGTGGAAGGATGGGGCTACTGTTGGTAGGAGCCTTTCTCGAAGTTGTAAAACTCCCTGCTGTCATAAAGATGCGAAAGAGCTTACCTTTCCTTTGGGTAAGGCCAATTAGCAAATACAGGTGGCCTGTGATCCTCCTATAGGAAATGGCCCCTGAAAGAGGCTTCGTCTTCAGAAAGGGAAACCTTCAGACCACAGCAGCTCTGTTAGAAGGAGACTAAGATGGGTTTTACCATCCTGATCATACTCACCTCTCTTTCTCTAATGTCCTGTCAATACATATCTGAAAGTCAGAGGTTCAGAGAGCCTGATGCAGGTCACATACCCACAGAGCTAGGTGGAGAAGGATAGATAGTAGACATAAAGAACCTAATAAAAGATTTTTTATATATGTATCTATGTTTATGTATATGTATATATGTATATGAATATATGTATATGTATATTCATATACACACACACATAAATATTTATATCCCAGTTTGTAAGCTAGTTGAGTCATTCATCAATCTACCCACTCATCCCTTCAAAGGACGTTTTTTTTTAATGTGATTGGCAATATATTAGGTCCTGGAGATTAAAAAAGAAATCAATACAGCATTAAAATAATGATTGCATTGAATTGCTACTACAGAAACATTTCCAAGTATTGTGGAATTTTAGGAAACAAAGGTACAGAAGCAGTAAAATTTTTATTGTCATTTGCTTTAAGGCTTATAAATAAGCACATTGCCAAAAAAGAAGTGGAAGCAAGGCTTGATGGATGTGAGTGGTTTCGTGTATCTGGACTATAAAATCTGTGAAAAAGATAGAGAGGAAAGATGTTGGTAAAATAATAGCAAGCTAGCTAGCTAAATAGATAAGTGGATAGATAGATAGATAACAGAAAATCACCGTGGAGACCAAGAAAGGAATGATTACAGTAATTACCCAATAGTGTCCTAACTGTGGAACACTCAAAAAAGTAAGACTGAAAATTGACCTTTGAGTTTTTGATTGTGAAAAGAGTATTATTGATCTTCACAAGACTTGCAGGTGGAAAATTATAAAAGGTTTAGATTTTATTCAAACCTGAAGAAATCTAACTACTTATTACATAAAAAACTCAAAAAGATAAATGATGAAAAGGAAGAATTACCTTGAATTGAAGTATAATGTTGAGTTAAAAAATGAACTGTTTTTCCTCTGCTCTCACACAACAATCAACACAGAACACTTCTGGGACCAAGTATCTGGGGATTTTTCCCCACCAGCAAGCAAGCAATTGATTCTGCAGTGGACACCAGCTGGGTGTTCTCCAATTCCACACTATCTACTGGGAGATAGCATCAGACCCCACAGGTTTAGGACTCAATCCACTTCTGATGCCAATCACGAGCCTTGGGTTATTTTATTTGTGTTTCTGGCCAACCAGCTATAAGTCATAGTTCCCACAACCTCTTCCTTGGGTTTGATTAATTTGCTAGAGTGGCTCACAGAGTTGAGAGAAACACTTATGTCCACCAGTTTATTATAAAGTATATTACAAGGGCTACACCTGATAAGATGCAGAGAGCAAAATACGGGAGAAGGGTCACAGGGCTTCCACACCCTCTTTGGGTACATCATCCTCCAGGAACCTTAATGAGTGCAGCTATCTGGAAGCTCCTTATACCATCCTCTTGGTCCTTTTATGGAAACTTCATTGCATAGACATAATTGAAGCATCAATAAGGGGGTAGAAATGTGATTGGACAAAAAGGGTATGATCTAAGACAAACAGAGTGGGGAAACCCAGCAAGTTCTATCTATCTGTTCAGATTCTTTTTTGGCCTCCCTGTGCAACATTTTCTCCTCCAGGGTATGGGGCAGAACCCCTTCTGAAATGGTGGTTTCATGACTTATAATCAGACAAGGTAGGTCAGAGAATTTCTTTGTGACCAGCTCCAAGACAGAAAGGCCGGAGGAAATTAGGGTATATTTTTAATTTCAGTGGCCTGCCTTGAGGCGAAAAAGGAGCAGGTGAAAGGAGGGCAGAAAAAGGTCAAAGAGAAAGAAATTCTGTGTCTGAGGCCTGATTCTGAGGTCTAAGGCATCCCAATATTATAACAAAAGATGATCTTTCACTTTTATCTCTCTGAAGTTGCTCCAAAGTTGCTTCAGGAAACAAGGACAAAAGGCCAAATACTTTAACAAAAGATATGCTTATTGTTTTAGTCACTTAGGAAATAACAAAGGTTATGGGGGTTATAAGCCAGGAACTGTGGACGAAAACCAATATGTATATATAGTAATATAACAGGCATGTTTCTCATTTTTTCCTTTACCTTTTTGCTGGTAGAGGAGAAGATTTTATTGATGGATTCCATCTTTACTGCCTTTCAAACCCTGCCTTTCTCCTCAGAGGAAATAAAAAGATTAAACAATTGTTCTATAAACAGCACATGAATTGTTCTAACCTGATATTATCAGTAATTCTTAAATATGTGTTTATCAGGAACTCAGTACAAATTCAGTATTTTTAGTCTATTATATTGTTGCGGCCCAGAACACACCACCCCAAAATATGACTGGAGAAGACGAGAATATTTCAGCCTAATATATATGTTTTTGGAATATTTTAAGCACATTATTCACATTAGTTTTAGAACCTGCAGACACAGAAGTATCTCTGAAAAGCTGTCCTTTTGTAAATATATATAAAGGAAACCTGCATTTGTAAAAGTATCTCTATCAGGAAGATAGTGGGCTGCTTCCACACAACTTTTATTACCTGAAAGACTTTTTATCAGAATAATAAGGCAATCTTTATTCACCATATATTTTCTCTTCTAACTCTCTCATAACTTGTCTTCACCACCCCACAGAAGGCCCAAGCCTTTATTGCTTTTTGTAGCTCAGGATGTTATGTAAACTTTAAACATCTGTGACCCTTCTTTAAGTTACATATTTTTGTGGGACCCCCATGCATATGTATATAATTAAATACAGTTTTTCTACTGTTAATCTGTTCATGTCAATTTAATGTATAGCCAAGCCTAAGAACTAAGAAGGGTGAAGGATGCCACTTTTCCCTCCTCTGTAATAGTCAACAGAATATTTTTCACTCTTTCATTTTGTGCTTTTTTGTCATAAGGCTTCAATAAAATTGTCAGTTCCAGGCCGGGTGTGGTGGCTTACACTTGTAATCCCAGCACTTTGGGAGGCTGAGGCAGGTAGATCACAAGGTCGGGAGATCGAGACCATCCTGGCTAACACGGTGAAACCCTGTCTCTACTAAAAAAAAAAAAAAAAAAATTAGCCAGGCGTGGCAGCGGGCGCCTGTAGTCCCAGCTACTTGGGAGGCTGATGCAGGAGAATGGTGTGAACCCTGGAGATGGAGCTTGCAGTGAGCTGAGATGGAGCCACTGCACTCCAGCCTGGGCGACAGAGCGAGACTCCGTCTCAGAAAAAAAAAAAGAAAAAAAAATTGTCAGCTCCAATCTACTCATTATGAACATGTGCTATTTTTATTGAAAATTGTGTCAGTGGCATTTCTAGAGAGTAGTTGTGAATTGCTAATTATGAAATATGATAAGTACTATAAGACATTTTATACCTTAGTAATTTTAATTATTTTTAGAAATGAAACTAAAAATACCTTTTCCAAAAATTATGACAGTGAGAAATATCTGCAGAATCACTGGATTCTCGACCAATCAGATTCTACATAGATCACACTGAGAATACAACTTTTAGTGACAAAGATAAAATGATGTGCCTATTAACAAATTATGTTATTCTACCCTTATTTCTCCATATTTTGGGATTCTGTTGTCCACTAAGACTTTCTACAACTGTGGTAACCATAGATATTAATTGAATTTCTATTCTGTGTCAGTAAATTTGCATATACTTTGTTTAAAGTCTCTCAGCTAGTAGGCACAGTACAGGATTTTTCTGCTAGATAGGCCATAGATACTACTGTGAAACATTTCATGTTCTAATGCAATTGCATATATCTATCTCTACTCTTGACTGTTAGCTCCCTAAGGCTTAAATGTATCTATTCACCTATGAGTATTTTTATGCTAGCACAATGGCTAAAAGTGGGTGAATAATTTAGAATTTAAGCTATATAGATTATAACACCATCAATAAGGAACCATGATATACTTGGTAGCAGTTATATTAAATTACATGGGAAATGCTTAGAAGTCAACCAGTGGCTTTGTGAAAATTCTGATATGCTGAGTGACTACTAAGTCACTGGTCAAATGCATGCATGAGCCAGAGAGTGTCTTATTTTGAGACTGACAGATTTGATCTCAAGCTGCTCTAAGGAGATACAGAGACTGAAAACCAAGATTTAGAGAAAATGCCTAGATAGAGATAGGTGATAGATGGATGGATAGACAGATGATAGATAGATAGGTAGATAGGTAGATAGATAGATAGATAGATAGATAGATAGATAGATAGATAGATAGACAGACAGACAGACATAGAAATAGGTATCAGTTGTCAAAAGCTACCTTGAGGGATCCAGAGTCAGCTGATATAAGATTAAAACAGGTAAGCTGCTGTCATTAATTCATAAGGCTTTCTGTGTCATTATACAATGCCAGTAAGCAGAGGCTTCAGGAATACTGAGGTAGTCGTATTTGTTTCTGAAATCTCTTGTACATTCACGGCCACATGTGAGTAGTCCTGCCTATGAGTAGAATGCAAATTTAGCCAGAGGCAGAATCAGAATAAAGAGGTATTTATTTTCTCTTTCAGGGAAGTTGATCTATGATTATAGGAAGACTCTTCCCATATAAGAAGCTCTTAACGTGGGAAACGATAGAAAAAATGTTTCATTGCTAATTTATACTACAAATACTTCATATTCTCATAAAATTAGATTTTAAAAGTTTGTCTTAAAGAATAAAAATCAAGGATGCAATAGCTGATTGCCTTTATTTAAAATGAGTATCCATTTGTGGTCTTGTCTTAAATCAGGCTTTCGATAGACACAAATATATACTTTCTCATAACTGAATGAAACTTACCTGCCCTATTTTCTTCTCATTAAGAGAATATTGTCATATTCAAGGGCTAAAACAAGTTTTCAACATGCAGTTCTGATTTAAGATTATAAATCTTATGAAATATTTAAAATCTTTAGGATTTTGTTAATTAGTTTTTCAGTGGTAAATAAAACATATCTAGAGTTCTAGGGCTTTTATAGTCTTTTAAAATCCTCTTTCAAAGTTGAAGAAATAAATAACAAAAATTTTCAAAACAAGCTTGGGAATGGAATATGCTACCACATGACAACGTTAACAATGATACTGAAATTACCAAGCAATTGCACCATATTGCTTCCTGAGCATATCGCACATGTAGGACCATGCAAAAGTTTCATGTTAGATGACAGTGTTTTACAAGTATAATCATGTATGTATTTGGACACCCCATTGCTTCAGAAATGCTCTGTGGAGGAGGTGAGATCTGGGGTTGGGGAGGAGTTTCTTTGAAATAAGGCAACTACTTTCTCAGGGAAAAAAAGAGCATAATGTGTGATCAGAACAAGAAATGAAAAAATAGAAATAGAGGGGTGGTGTGTGGCCCTTTCTAAATAAATGACCATTTAGAAACTTTTGTGACAAACCACTTGTGAACCAAATTCATGGTTTTAATTTTATATTTTCTTTCTTTTCCTTCCTTATACAAATCGCAATTAATCATTATTAGAAGTATGACATTAAAATGCTTGAAAAAATGCCAGAAAAAATAATTTTTAGGTAGTAGTAGAAAATGTCATTTTTAAAAGTCCTGCCTGAAAATGCAATTAGATACCACAAAGATTCATGCAATTAGGCAGAAAATATTTCACAATGCTATTTCTAAAAAACAAAACAAAACAAAAAAATCATGCTTTCAAACTGAAAAATGATTAACTAATGCAAAATAATTTCAAGTGTAATCTCTAAGTATACTGTTTGTTATAAATTTCTTAAAGTTTATAAACTATTTCAGTGGCTTTTTGAAGATAATAAAGAATGCATATTAATACTCCGTACCATTGATAAGCTGAGTGTTTATTATCTGAAATTGTTTACAATTCAGGCCAATAACAACCTGTTTAACTTTTTTCTGCCTTCATCATTATTCTTTAACAACCAAAAGTTTTACCTCTGAAACTTAATTTTGTTGTACATGATGATAATATGGTATTTTGATGGATGATACAAAAATGGCTCATGAATAGGAAACCAAATTCAGAAGTCATATTTTTACTTTTAGAATTACATTATTGTATTCAAGTGTGAAGCCTAAAATAAAACAACATAACATATTACTCAAAGGAAAGACTTGTCAGCTACTTTCTCTCTCCTTCCCTCATCCCTGATAGGTGTGTGTGTGTGTGTGTGTATTTGTCTATACACAAACACATTGTCCACATATGGGGACAAAAACACACGTGTGTGTTCTCTAGCATAAGTAAGATTCAGATTTGCTTGGGGAAATCTTGTAACCTAGGGATCACTAGAAACTTACTTAGAGGTGGCCAAAATTCTTCATGGAAAAGGAATGAGATTTAGGAGTTTTAGACATAACAAGCATACATTAAAGGACTATCTATGGGCTTATTTAGGCAGACAAGAGTCTGTTTACAAATAGGAAGAGGTATGGATGTCTTTTTTGTAGGAACATTTATCCTAAGGTGATAAAGAGCTGAACCTTACAGACTTGACCCTATACCAATAACATAAATTACAGACAGGAGAAGCAATTCTGAATAAACCTTGCTGTCCATTATATTACATATTACGTATACATACATATTTAGTGTCCCATTCTCTTTTTCGTGCTTTGCTACTTCCATGAATTCTATCAGTCTTTTGTGTGTTGCTCTCTTAATACTTCAATAAAATAGTCACCATAGAACTGGAATGTGGACAAATGTGGGTTCTTATTATTCTCGAACTAGTGAAAGAATCCTGATTTATCAATACTTATATTACTGGCTTCTCAAAGGCCATATCATTCTCACACTCACAATTTCAGGTACCTAGTGGGTCGTATATCTTTCCAATTCTCATTAGTGATAAAGAATTTTGCCTATTTCAGTTAGAAAACTGAAGATGTGGGTATCAAATGCATGGACCAATTAGACCATCACATTCATCCTGAAAGTCTATATGATTGTATAGAAAGTCTTATATGTATATATGGAGGGAGTATACACACACGTACTTTTTTATATACTGAAAGTTTTGTTGTGGTAATTCACAAAACATACAATTTAACCATTTAAAGTGTGCAGTGCAAAATTCTCGGAGTTATATAACCATTATCACAATTTTAGAGCATTTTGATCACCTCAAAATGAAAGCCCATACCCTTTATCTATCACTCCAGTATTTCCAAGTCAGACAACCACTAAGCTGCTCTTTCTATAACTTGCCTATTCAGGATTTTCATGTAGATGTAATCATATTATGGGTGATCTTTTGTGTCTGGCATTTTGGTATAATGTTTTCAGGGTTCATCATATTGAAACATGCATGAATATTTCACTTTTTTATAGCTTAACAGTATTCCATTGTATGAATATATGATATTTTATTTATCTACTAATTAGTTGCTTGATACTTGTTTCCACTTTTTGATTATTCTGAATAATCCATTCTTTAAACATTCGTGTGCAAGTTTTTCCAAGCCTATATGTTTTCACTTGGTGGGGGGGGGGGATATATATAGCTAGAAGTGGAATTGTTGGGTCCAATGATAATTCTATATTTAATTTTTTGAAGAACTGTCAAAATGTTTTCCAAAGTAGCTGCACCATTTTTATCTTTCCACCAGTAGTTTACGAGAGTTTCAGTTTCTCTATGTCTTTGTTTACACTTTTTATTATCTGTCATTTTGATTATAGACAACCTCAGGGGTGTGAAGGGTTATTTCTTATGGTTTCAATTTGCATTCATCTGATGAGTAACGAGATTGAGCATATTTTCATGTGCTCATTGGCCAGTGGTGTATTATCTTTCGGAAAGTTTGCTAATAGTGGTCATAGTGTACATTTTGATGACCCCCAATTTATTTGATATTTTGTTGTCGCTCGTGCTTTTGGTGTCAAATGTAAAAAATCATTGCAAAATCCAAGATCATAAAAATTTACTTCCAGGTTTTCTTATAAGAGTTTCATACTTCTTGCTCTTACATATTGGTCTGTGATTCATTTTAAGTTGATTTTGTGCACAGTGTGAGATAAGGATCCAAGTCCATTATTTTGCATCTATATGCCCAGTAGTCCCAAAGCCGTTTGAGGAGACCATCCTTTCCCCACTGAATGGTCTGTTCATCCTTGTAAAAATCAATTGACCATAGATGTATTTGTATATTTCTGGACTATTCATTTTATTCTATTGATCTATGTGTCTATCCTAATGCCAGGACCTCACTATTTTGGAAGTGTGTTAGGAAGTGTGAGTACTCCAACTTTGTTCTTTTCTAGATTGTTTTAACTATACTGGGTACCTTAAATTTCCATATAAATTTAGGATCCACTTGTCAGTTTTTACAAAAAGTCAGCTAGGATTCTGAAAGGGATTATGTAAAACTTATTGATCATTTGGGGAGTATCCTATCTTAACAATATTAGGTCTTCTGATTCTTGATCATGGATATCTTTCTATTTATCTAGAACATCTATTTATCTAGAACACCTTTCAGCAATGTTTGTAGTTTTTCATGTACATTATGACATTTTCAATTATTTTGCTAAATTTATTCCTAAGAATTTTACTTTTTGGTGCTATTGCATGTATAACTGTTTTCTTAATTTTATTTTGGATTTTTCTCTCTAATTTATATAGTACAGTTGATTTTTACATTTTGTTTTCTGCAACTCTCTGAACTCACTTATAACATTTAAAAGTTAAAAGCCCACAAAGTAGATTCTTAAAGATTTTCTCTACACAAGATCATGCCATTTGTGAATAGAGATAGTTTTATTCTTCATTTTTAATATAGATGCTTCTTTTTTTTCTTGTCTAATTGCCCTTCTTAAACCTTCCAATTCTAAGTCAAATAGAAATGGTGAGAGTGGACATGTTATTTTTATTCCTGATCTTAGAGACAAAGCATCTGGTTTTCACTAGTAAATATGTTGCTAAGTGGAGGTTTTTTGTAGATGCCCTTTTTTAGGGTGAGAACTTTCTCTTGTGTTCCTAGTTTGTTGAGTGTTTTTATTATGAAGCAATATTGGATTTTGCCAATTGCTTTCTCTGCACAAATTAAGGCAATCATCTGTTTTTTTATCTTCATACTATTAATATAGTATTGATTGATTTTCATATGCTGAAACATTTTTGCTTTCCTGGAATAAATGTCACTTGATCATGGTGAGTAATTCTTTTTCTATGGTACTGAATTCAGTTTGCTAATATATTTTTAAGGATTTTTTTTCATTTATATTCATAAGAGATGTTGGTCTGTTGTTTCCTTTTCTTTTCATGTTTTTGTTTGGCTTTGGTATTAGGGTTAAGTAGGTTAGGAAGCATTTTCTATTTTTTTGGAGGTTTGTGAGGAATATATGTATATATATGAGACAGGGTTTCATTCTGTCTCATACCTAGGCTGTAGTGCAGTGGCACAATCATGGCTCACTGCATCCTCGACTTCCCAGTCTCAGCCGTTCCTCCCTCCCAAGTAGCTGGTACTACGCGTGTGCACCACCATACCTGGCTAATTTTTTGTAGAGAAAGAGTCTCCCTATGTTGCCCAGGATGGTCTCAAACTCCTAGGCTCAAGACATCCTCCAGCCTCATCCTTCCGAAGTGCTGAGATCCTTCCAAAGTGAGCCACCATGCCGGGTGTATTAATTCTTTAAATGGTTGGTAGAATAAACCAGTGAAGCCATCTAACCTGTTTTATTTATTGAGGTAGTTATTGTTTATTAATAATTTAATTTTCTTACTTGCCCAGGTCTATTCAATTGCCTTTCTCCTTGTGTCAGTGTTGGTAGTTTGTGTCTTTCTAGGAATGTATCCATTTCATCTAAGCTATCTAATTCATTGCCATGCAATTGCTCATAATATACATACATTTATTAATGTATATTTAAGATGTATAACTATAAATATAAAAATATATACATTTCTGTAAGGTAGTGCTATTTCCTTTCTAATTCTAGTAACTTTAATATTCTTTCTTGCTTTGTCTGTGTGTGTGTCAATATAGCTAAATATTTGCTTATTTTGTTAATTTTTTTTCAAAGAACCAACTTTTGGCTTTATTTTCCCTGTTGCTTTTCTGTTCTCTATTATATTAATTTCCAACCTAATATGTATTTTTTTCTTCTTTTTGCTTCAGGTTTAATTTGCTCTTATTTTTTCGGTCTCTCAAAGTGGAAGTTTAGGCTAATTAGGAATCATTCTTGCTTTTTATGTAGATATTTCCAACTATAAATTTTCCTTCAAGCAGTGCTTTACATGATTCCAATAACTTTTGGTGTGGTGTGCCTTCACATTTATTTATCTCAAAGCACTTTCCAATTGCTCTCGTGATTTCTTATTTGACCTCTTAGGTATCTAGGAGTACGTTATCTAGTACTCATATATTTATGGGATTACCAGATTTCTGTTATTGATTTCTATGTTCAATGCATTGTGACCAGAGAACATACTTTGTGTAATTTGAATCCTTTAAAATTTATTTTGACTTGTTTAATGGTCATAAACTGTCTCTCTTGGAGAAAGTTTCAGGTACACTTGAGGAAAGTGTGTATTCTACTATTGTTGGCTGCAGTATTATAGAAATGTCTGTTAGATTTAGTTGGTTTAGAGTATTGTTGATGTCTTCTACTTCTTTGATAATCTTCTGCTTGGTTGTTCTAGCCATTATTGAAAGTGTTTAATTCTCTATTTTTTAAATTATCATTTCTTTCTCTTTTTCTTTCTTCTCGTCAGTTTTATTTTTCATTTTTTGGGGGAGGGGGCCCTGTTTTGTAAGTGTCCGATTGTTACATCCAACTTATAGATTAAACTTTTATCCCTATGAAATAAGTATCTTTTTCTTAGTAATATTTACTTGGTTTAGAGACCAAATTTTTTACGGCCATTCCATATTTCTTATAATTTATGTTTTCATGATCTCTTTTTGAATCCAAAGTTTGTCTTCTGTAGTAAGTATATGGCTGGATCTTATATCTTTTAAATCCCTCTGACCATGTATGTCATTTGGAGATTTTAATCTACTCACAATTAATGTTATTATGATATAGTTGGATTTATGTCTGTGAATTTCTTTTGGTTTTCTATATGTGTTTTATATTCTTTTATTTACTCCTTTTAATACATTAAATTAATATTTTCTAATGTAACATATTAATCACCTCAATTTGTTTGCTATATCTATTTTTTTAGCTGTTTTCTTATTAGTTGTTCTAGGGCTTACCATATATATCTTAACATTGATACTTCACATTTAGACTAACCTAATTCCACTGAGCTCTAGTAACAATATACTAATATAGCTCTATTCCCTTTTCCCCACATTTGTACTATGATTACCTTATATAATTATATGTCTCTTAAACAAGTGGGAGAAGAGAGGCGAGCAAATATGTATTTATATAGATGGTAATATTAACTTTCTTATATTTTATTTGTGGTTTTCTTTATTCCTGTGGATACCTGTTACCACCTGGTGTCATTTCCTACTCCAATATAGTTTACCTCCCACACAATTTCTTTGTAGTTGTATTAATCAGTTCTTACACTGCTATAAAACCTGAGACTGGGTAATTTATAAAGAAAAACGGCTTAATTGGCTAAGGTTCCATGGGCTGTACAGGAAGCATAATGCTGGCATCTGCTTCTGGGGAAGCCTTGGGAAACTTTCAATCATGGCAGAAGGCAAAGGGAAAGCTGGCATGTCTGACATGGCTGGAGCAGGAGGGAGAAAAATGGGGAGAAGTGCCGCACATTTCTAAACAACCAGATCTAATGAGAATTCTATCACAAGACAGCACTAGGGGGATGGATACTAAATCATTAAAAACCACCCCCATGATTCAATCACCTCCCACTGTGCCCCACCTCCAAGACTGAGGATTACGATTCAATGTAAAATTTGAGGAAGGACGCAGATCTGAACCATATCAATACAATTTTATTTTTATATATCTGTCTGTGTGTGTGTGTATAGTTTTATATACTTCCTTTTTAAGTCATTAGAAGAAAAAAGTAGAAGACATATGCATATTTGCTATATTTAATAATTACACAGTTAATTTTACTGGAGGCCTTTGGTTTTGTTTTTCTTTTTATGTAGATTGGAACTATTGTCTGGAGTCATTTGCTTTTGGCCTAAAGAATATCCTTTGTTATTTCTTGTAAATTGTATCTACTAGTGATAAATTCCCTCAGGTTTTGTTTACCTGTGAATGTTTTGATTTTTTTTTCATTTTTGAAAGATAGTTTTGCTAGGTAAAATTTTTGGTTTACAGTATTTTCTTTCAGCACTTTAAATATATTACTCTACTTCCTTTGGCCTCCATTTTTATGATGAGGAGTCAGTTGTTTAATCTTATTGGAGTTTCTTGGTAGATGAGAAACCATTTTTCTCTTGATCTTGTCAAAATTTTCTGCTTTGACTTTCTGTACTTTTCCATGATATGTCTGTGTGTGTCTCTGTTTGTTTTCATGTTACTTGGTGTTCAATGAGCTCCTTAAATTTGTATATTCATGTCTTTCATCAAATTTGGAAAGCTTTCCAACTTTTACAACTTGTTTTCTAATTATTTTCTTCCTTCTCATCCATAGTAATTCCATTAAAAGTATATTAGTGTGCCTAATAGTGCCCCACATTTATCTGAATTTGTTTACTTTTATTCATTCTCTTTTCTTTCTATTAGTTTGATTGTATAATCTCTATCAATCTATTTTTCAAGCTTATTTATTCTTTCTTCTTCAGGTTTAAGTCCACTGTTGATCAACTCTAGTGATTTTTTTCATTTCAGTTGCTGGGTTTTTAAACCCCAGAATTACAATTTGGTTCCTTTTATAACTGCTGTTCCTTTATTGATATTGTCTATTTGATGAGATCATATCATCATGCCTTCCTTTACTTTTTAAAGCATCATTTATTTTGCTTCTTTGAATATATGTATAATGGCTATTTTGAACCTTTTGTTTGTTAAGTACAACCTCTAATAATTCTCACATGCAGTTGCTTTTGCTCAAATTTATTTCATTATATGGGCCAAATTTTTTGTGTTTATCTTTAAATGTCTCATAATTTTTTTCCAGAAAACTAAAAATTTTAGATAATATATTCCAATAACCCTATTCATTGTTTTTTTCTCCTCCCTCTGAAGCCTGTTTTAGTTATTCATTTAATTATTTGTTTCATGACTAGATGGATAACTTCAGTACAGTCTATTCCTTTTCTCCCTCCACCCACTAAAAGCCTCTGATATTGCTCCTCAAATCTCACTGCCTTGGATATGTACACAACTAGCCTAAAATGACAGTTGTTTTAGTAGGGCTTTCTTTGATTGTCTCTTTTTCTGACCACAACCAAATGTTAATATCCTCTAATTGCCAGCTCATTATTCTGTTGTTCTTAATGTGTTCTGGAGCATAAATTCCTCCACAGGTTAATCCAGTTAATCTGGGATCTTTTGCATGAATAGTTTTTAGGTTCAACATTTTGGTTTGCCCTGATCTTTGGAGAGCACTTCTTAACTGTTTATTCATTTGGTTACTCTGATAAGCCTGTTGCTCTGTGATTTAACTTATACCTCTAATGAAATTATTAGTATCCTCTTAATTGCTTTCCACTGAAAACTTCATAATTTTTTAGCATGCTTTTAGGTTTGAAGTTCCCTACACTCTGTTTCACATAATGACAATTATTTTAGGAAAAGCTTCTGAGCTCACTTTTTATGGCCTGACTGTCCCCTCTGGGGAAAAAAAACTCAGGTCACATCTTTGGATCTAGGAGCGGGAACACTGTCCTGCTTCTCTTTGATTGACATTTCTGCTCTTTTCTTGCTTCTTCCATCATTGAACCTTCATCCTGTGAATGAGCCAATGTGAAGCCATTCAGGATCCTAATATCCTTAACAAGTGTTCTCAAGGTAGACATTCTGTCCCACAGGTTTGGGAGGGGTGGAAGAAGATAGATACCAACATCTAAGGCAAAGTCAACCAAAATTTAGTCTCCAAAACAGGAATGTGAAGGATGAAGGATGAAATAAAAAAGATTGATTTCCTACCTCTCACACAAAGATGCCATAGCTCACAGCTGGCAGTTGGGGTAGAATAACCTGAACCTGTATTGTTAGTTATACTCACCTGGAATGGAAGTCATAATCTGCTGGGAGTGAGAAAGGACATTGTAGATCATAGTTCTAATATCACAGACTCTCACTGTTTTTACTGAGTTTTAGTCGATTTTCTTGAATAAATGTTTCTTCATTTCCTGTACACTCTTAGAAACATACCCATAGATTTAACATTGACCTTTTCTTAACGTATATAAATTTCACCAGTTTCATGGAGGATTTCCGTGGAGCTCCTCATGTTGCCATTTCAGAACACTTATTCATGAAACAAATATTTGTTGACTGTATAAAAATAGGTACTGTTTCCATGGTAATATGAAAGAATAGCAATAAAAAATAGGGAGGTAGTTCTTAGAATAAATTCCTAAAATCTGTTATTTTTAAAATTAAGAAACACAAAACTTAAATATATCCTTAGTATTAAACATCCAAAAAATATTGTTTCATAAAAGCAGAAATCCTAATAGGTTTTATGTGATTGTTTAATTTTTTATAACACACATGTTTTATAATAACAGGAGAGACAGTTCAACTTACAGAGCTGAGAAATACTATTGGAAATGTGTTTGCTGACTACACAACTACAGAGTAGAAAGCTTCTAAATGCAGGAAATGAAGCTATACACAAAAAGAAAAAGGTTGGGATATTTGTAGGTAAGGTGTGTAAAAAAAATCCACAAGCAAGAAAGATAGTAAGAACTAAGCAATAGATTATAATAGGTTGATGCATAGAGAATTACTGGTGGTTACTTAAAGATCTGGGAAGAACTCCCTTGCCAGGTGACATTTCAAAGGAAATCTAAATGACAGGAAAGGTTCAAACAGAATTTCAAAGGATAGGGAAATCCAGGTAGCAGATATGGCTATTGAAAATGATATAAAGAAAGAGATTGGTTATTAAGGGAACAGAAAGAGTCAGTGTGACTATGCCATGATAGATAAGGAAAATGGCAATAATATTTAGTTCTTGGGTCATGGTATCTCCCAATCAAATCATCTAATCAGCTGGTATATATCCCTAAGCATTGTGTAAAAATCTGATTCCCATTCTGCACCCAAAATTTTGCAAATTCTATAAATCATTATTTAATATTATTACTAAAATGGACCTTTCATTCCTGTCATATCTGATCATCATTAAAAATACTTAGGTATTTTGTGAATAAAACCATTCTCAATTTAGATTTGATTCTCTTGTTACCTGTTTGGACCTGATATTGCTATAAAATGCTTAGGATGTAATGTATGATATAGCAATTCATTTAATTCTGCTTGTTGAATTTTCAGTTTATCTGATCTGCTTCTGTAAATGTCCTATAACTACATCCAGCCTGATTGTTTAATTATCTTGGCATTACTCCAGTCTAGAGCAGTTTCAGTATTGTTAATCCTACAACGTAAATGTAGACTCACTATGTGAGAACTCCTGAAATTATGTTGTCTGTGTAAAAAGCAGAGAAAAGTATATGACTCATAATAGGAACTAACAAAGGTAAGTTTTGTTGCCTTCCTTGCTACCTTCCTTTCTCCCTCCATTACTTTCTCCCCTTGCATGAGAAGAACCTGAGACAGGTAGGGCTATCCATTGTTTGTACATCCTAATGGGAGGGGAAGCAATGGTTTGTTCAAAAGGAACTGTGGTGTGGTGGGAAATGACAGGTTTTGGTACCAAAAGACCTGAGACTAGGCTTGTGTTTAGTACTAACTTTTAATAGCTCTGTGTATTAGTCAGGGTTCTCTAGCAAAACAGAACTAAAAGAATGTACATATAAGTACGCGCACGCACACACACACACACACACGTTCATTTTATTTTTTAGTAGCAGAAAGATTTATTAGAAATTTATTACCCTGAACTGGTGTTGCATGTGCTATAGTACTATTAGTCATTAAAATTGATGTGAAGAAATATTCTTGCTTCCAAAATAGTTTTGAACAAAGCTATAAAATATAGTTTCCAGTGTGACTTGTGTTCTGCCTCTTTCCCTTGGCATCCCACCAATGACTATGGTTATCCCTTTTACAGATGAAGATCGTGAGATACCAAGGTAGATGCTGCTCTAATGGTTACACATTACAGTGAATGACAGGAGTTGCCTTTCTCTGCCTGGCCTAGGTGGAAGGTATTGGAGAGGCTGATGTGTCTGACCAAAGATATGGACACCCGTGGCCCCATCCAGTTGACACACAAAGTAAACCATCATATTATACTTTGTTGCCATGAACAATTTACCCAAGTTCCCTGAGTATTAGTTTATTTTTGAATGAATTATAGTGGGTAAAACATCCCACAGAAATGTTATAAAGAATAAATTAAATATGCAGAATATTGGAAAGCACTTTGTAAACTTTTATGGCCATAATATTTACCATTATTTTACCTGATTTTACCAAAATTTTTTTAAATGAAGCTATAGGAATGTTTAAGTTACACATATAAAGATTCATTTATAGATTCAACAATCATACTTCTGGCACTTTTCTCATTTATGGTGCTACCCCGTACTATTACATAGTATACATTCTGCTGGAGACTGTAACTTTTAGTATCATTCAAGAAAAATTTGGTAAATATTATAAAAACAAAGAAAGACTATCACTTTTTTAATTTCTGAAAAAGCTTTTTGGAACATCTTTATCTAAGTCCAGTCTAAGCTAATTTGAGATATTAATTTAGAGACTTTTTCATTGCACTTTCTTTAGGTCAATTGGATGAGAGAGATCATGAGGGTGCTTGAGCAAAAACAACATCTGGCATTTTTCAGGGATGGGGGAATAATTCAGAGATCCAGGAGGATTGGGCTGTGAGAAAGGCAGGCATCAGGTGCTGTTTGCTGTGTTAACAGTTAATAATTACATTGAGGATTTTTGCTCACAATTCTTTTGTATTCTAATTATTTATAGTTCAGGTCTCCAGCTTTTACATACCCCTTTCTGCCCCACAAGTCTCTGGAGATCTCTGAAAATAACTGCTGAAGGACAGTGGCTTAGGTAACGGATTGAGTTGGATTTAAAGTCTTCATACTGAAGAATATATTATGTTTGTTTCTGTCTCCTGTTATGACAATGAAACTCCCATGGTTACTGATTATTCCCGAGCTATTCCAAATAGTGACAATCAAAAAATAGAGAGAACATAAGAGTAATGGCAAAGAGGAGATAGTACATTCAACAAGAAAACTTCTGCTTACATTGCTTGACATGGTATATTTAAATGCAATTGTAAATATTGCTTAAGGGGAACTATTTTAGAAAAAGTTAATAGTTTCTGAAAGACAGAGATTTGATTAAATCAGAATCATGCTCAGGTGATATATTAGCCAGGTTTCTCCAGAGAAACAGAACCAATTCGGTAATACGTATGTGGGGTATGTGTGTGTGCGCATGTGCGTACATTTCTCATACTATATTACCTATAATATATGGTGTAAGGAAATAACTCACATGATTATGCAAACTAGAGACATAGGAAAACTAGTAGTATGCTTTTACTTTGAAACAAAAGTCCTGAGAATCAGAAAACCAATCTTGTAAGTCCCAGGCTGAGGACAGGAGAAGACCAGTGTCTCAGCTAATGCAGTCAGCCAGAGAGAGCAAATTCTTCCTTCCTCTAACTTTTCGTTCTGTTTAGGACCTCAATAAATTGAATGATGCCTGCCCACACTGAGGAAGACAGTCTTCTCCCAATATAAATCTAGAGTCTATTGATTCTAATGCTAATTTCATACAGAAATGCCCTCTCAGACACACCCAGAAATAATGCTTAACTAAATACCTGGGCACTCTGTAAAATGTCACTCTGTCAAGCTGACATATAAAATTAGCCATCACTGAGGTATAACTATCAACTTTCCCATTTTTAAATTCACATGTTACATTATACTGGATATAAATTTTTGGAAATGCAGGGGTGTAAAAGGTTGAGAAAATCTTAAAAATACTAAAATCAAGTAGGAGTTGAAGAAAAAATAAAATTGTGGTGAATATTGAATAAAATTGTTTCTTTGGCTAAAAACTTCCATATGGAATAGCATATTGAGTTTCTTCTCAAAGAGTGGCAAAACTATATACCAGATTGATTGAATCTGGCCTTCTGTGGAACATAAGTTTCTATACACATTTGTAGAGAACAGAAAAAAATGAGAGTCATATTAGGTGTTATGTGTAGTTACTAGCTAGTTTCTTAAAAATTAAGCATTATGTACTCTTTAAAATTTAAAGTTTCATTTTAGAAGCTATGAGATAATAATTTATTTAAATATTTTTAAACCTATATATTTTATTATAATTTATTGTTCTAGCTTGAATTTCCTGAGGGAACACAAGATACTAGTCATAAAAATGGTTCCCCACTTTTAGCGGAACAACAAAAAAGTTCTCCCCACTTTATAGAATCTTTAAATATAAAGGCAAATAGCTGATCTCCAATGAGTTAAGAAAAGTTCAAATTCTGATACGATAATGCCTATAAATATATGTGTGTATACATAGCGTGCATATATATAAACAAAACTAGTAAATATATGTTATGTATAATATATACGAATATGTTAATTATATATGCATAAATATATAATAAATTAACAAATTAGTTTTATTTTTAGTCTTTTATAATATATCATTTTATATATTCTCAAATCTCAAAAAGAGATAATACAGGCTTCTTGATACTGTAGCAGGGTAGCCCAAATGGTGAGATTATGAAGGTCAACTGAGAAAATGAATAATTCAAGAATACCGTATAAAAAGGTCGTTGAATGATCCTGAAGCCTACATGTAGTTCTTTTTTTTTTTTTTTTTTTTTTTTTGAGACAAGTCTCACTCTGTCGCCCAGACTGGAGTGTAGTGGCGCAATATCGGCTCACTGCAAGCTCCGCCTCCCGGGTTCCTGCCATTCTCCTGCTTCAGTCTCCTGAGTAGCTGGGACTACAGGTGCCCGCCAACACACCCAGTTAATGTTTTGTATTTTTAGTAGAGACGGGGTTTCACCGTGTTAGCCAGGATGGTCTCGATCTCCTACCTTGTGATCCGCCCGTCTTGGCCTCCCAAAGTGCTGGCATTACAGGCGTGAGCCACCGCGCCCGGCCCCTACATGGATTTCTATACAATTGCTTTCAGTAGAAAATCTCCTCAAAAATTAAACAGAATAATTTTTAGATAATTTTAGGATTAATGCAATTGAAAGACTCAAGAATACTTCACATAAAGAATAATATGCAGAAATAAGTGGAGAAAATTAGCTACATTTTGAAAAGATATTCTTCAATCACACAGTAAAAATATTCTCATAGTGCTGTTCTAAATTTCAAATAAAGGAGAAATTTAAAATTATAGATAAGTGAAATTTGCATATCTTTCCCAATATTAAATTTTTACAATTGCATGACGACATATAACTAAGATAATTCACAATTAAAATAGTGAAGAACAGTGGATGAAATAATAATACAATGTGTTAAATATAATGACTGGTTAGTCAATTTATTTTGAATACCAAACAGAAATGAGATTTCAGAGTGGAATATTTTGCCTTTATGTTTGTCTTTCTATTTTGCTAATGATCATTACTAGACAAATTGTGAAATCCACACACTTTTTACAAAAACAGTGCCTGGCATATTAAAAAGAAAAAATACCCTAAACTTAATCAGGTATTAATAAAGTACTGAAATTGTGACACCATTTATAAACCTTTAAATCACAAATACTGTATTTCCATTGCCTAAGTTTTACTTTAGGCTGAAATAGAAACTAACATTTATGAGACTCATTAACCGTCAATGAAAGGATGAAAGGATAAAGAATGAGAGTTGTCAAGATTATGTAGAGTTAGGGACAAGAAATTGGAAGCGAGAAACTTTCTCTTTTGATTAGACATTCAGTCTCTCGGTTATATTTTGGCTTCTATTCAGTCTTACTCATTATTCTCTATTCCATTCATTGATGATTATTGGTGGGTGTTAAGAGCCTGGAATAATTTTAATACCAATTAAAATGTTTTGAAGTTTGAATATCCTACATTGTTATTTTAAAAGTGTGTGTGTGTGATTTTTAAGCATTGCATTAGCAGTGATCATTTATAGGAACTGTCTTCAATATATGTGCCTCAGCCAAATTTGTGAGTTTATTATTCATAAGCACATTAGATTCATCCATATATTTTTAGCTGAAAAAGTTACTTAATCATCATTTCTTGTCAAAATTATTATAATGCCATAATGATGTGCTTGAAAGACTATAATTAAGAGTAAGTTAACAATGCCATCTGAAACTCAAAACTGAGAGATGATTATAATTTAACCCAATTACTCTATTGTAAATGATCTCAGCTTTTCAAGGACTTCTAAGTAAATTTTATTATATTCTTACAAAATATGTGCCACCTAAAATAATTCTGATGATCAAGCTCCTGAATAAAAGCATGTGTTTATTTGCCAGAAATCTCTATAAAACAAAAAATAAAACAGTCTGATTATTTCACTTATTAATAAAAAATTCTTAAAAATTCAAATTTATTAATATTTAAAAATGGTTGAAGCAAAGCTGAACATATTGAAATGATATCCAATTTTCTATGAATTGGCCACTGTTTCCATTTGTTTTGTGAATTTGCAGGACTAAAGTCTGGAAAATGCATATCTGTATTTTATCAGGGGAAATTATCTTGTTTGGGAAATGTTTACAAACCATAACAGAAGAAATTGAAGCATCTTTTACTTAGGGTAAAATGTCAAGCAAAAAAGATAAGAAGATTATTTTCTCTGTCAATTTCTGTTTCACATAGTTTTTCTCTAAGTTGTTTTTAATAACCATGTAATATAGGTAGGCAACCTGCTCCTATGCCTGAATCAACTTGGGGGTAAACAAATCACCACTCTAAGTGGCAGAGGATTTAACATATATTTACTCTATTATTCTACACTTCAAGTAGAAGTTACTAGGCACTTTTCACCTTTCCAATAATCACCTAGTTGAATTTTAACAATGACCTTCTCCCTTGAGCATTTATACCAAGGATTGCTCAATTTCTTTGAGATGAGTGCCACTCAATCTATTTGTGGTAAAAATATATGTTTTTCTTTTTATTATTTATTTCTAATGTATGAGTTTTATGCATCGATACTTTTGTAAAATAAAATAAAGAAGCTTTTACTTTTTTTTTTTTTTTTGAGATGGAGTCTCGCTCTGTCACCCAGCTGAACTGCAGCACTGGTGTGATCTCGGCTCACTGCAACCTCTACCTCCTGGGTTCAAGCGATTCTCCTGCCTCAGCCTCCCGAGTAGCTGGGACTACAGTTGCATGCCACCACGCCCGGCTAATCTTTGGTATTTTTAGTAGAGATGGGGTTTCACCATGTTAGCCAGGATGGTCTCGATCTCCTGACCTCATGATCCACCCACCTTGGCCTCCCAAAGTGCTGGGATTACAGGCGTGAGCCATCACACCCGGCGAGAAGCTTTTTCAAAGTCACACAAACACAGGCCATTATCACACTCGATACACATAATACTATGGCTACGGCAATGGTTTGCAGATATCGCTTTGAGTAGCACTGCTTTAGTGACGTAGTGCACTGTTTAATTTTTGATGGGGTTATGAGACTGTGAATTAACTTAGCTTGCTCTTGCTAGTCTTTTTTCTTGACAACAGGATCCTATTCATTGTCTGTTATCTTTTGTTAAACAGCATAACTAGATTGGTTTTGGTTCTGCCTGACTTAGTTCTTTTCTTCATTCATGTAAGTAAGACTTCTAACTCTTACTATGAATTTCATTCCTGTTTTTAGATCTCTGTGTCTTGCCTAGAACTGGAAAGAATCTGTTACCCTTGTCCACATGGGCATTTAATGACTCGAGTCATTGCCCGAGTCATTGCCCTAACTTCCAAGTAGCTCCCTATATAAATGTATTTCTGGTTCTCTTCCAGCCTTATATATAGCATGATGTTGTAATGCTTCCCGTAACTCAAGGGTTCTTAAGAGTTTTCTAGTCCTCTAGAGCATTAATCAATTTCCTTTAGAAGTTTCATGAACCTAATAGATTATATGCATTATTTTGTGCATTGGTGCATATGACATATTGAAAGTCTTTTTTTGTTGTTGTTTAAAAAGATATACTATTGCCATTTTTTTGTGGAAATACTACAGTGCTGTCAGCCAATAAACTGTAATAGATTAAAAATTCCAAACTTCTTGGGCAGTATGGCCATTTTCACTATATTGATTCTTCCAACCCATGAGCATGGAATGTTCTTCCATTTGTTTGTATCCTCTTTTATTTCATTGAGCAGTGGTTTGTAGTTCTCCTTGAAGAGGTCCTTCACATCCCTTTAAGTTGGATTCCTAGGTATTTTATTCTCTTTGAAGCAATTGTGAATGGGAGTTCACTCATGATTTGGCTCTCTGTTTGTCTGTTATTGGTGTATAAGAATGCTTGTGATTTTTGCACATTGATTTTGTATCCCGAGACTTTGCTGAAGTTGCCTATCAGCTTAAGGAGATCTTGAGCTGAGACAGTGGGGTTTTCTAGATACAGAGTCATGTCATCTGCAAACAGGGACAATTTGACTTCCTCTTTTCCTAAATGAATACCCTTTATTTCCTTATCCTGCCTGATTGCCCTGGCCAGAACTTCCAACACTATGTTGCTGCCCAAGGTAATTTATAGATTCAATGCCATCCCCATCAAGCTACCAATGACTTTCTTCACAGAATTGGAAAAAACTGCTTTAAAGTTCATATGGAACCAAAAAAGAGCCTGCATTGCCAAGTTAATCCTAAGTCAAAAGAACAAAGCTGGAGGCATCACGCTACCTGACTTCAAACTATACTACAAGGCTACAGTAACCAAAACAGCATGGTACTGGTACCAATCAGAGATATAGGCCAGTGGAACAGAACAGAGCCCTCAGAAATAATGCCGCATATCTACAACCATCTGATCTTTGACAAACCTGACAAAAACAAGAAATGGGGAAACGATTCCCTATTTAATAAATGGTGCTGGGAAAACTGACTAGCCATATATAGAAAGCTGAAACTGGATCCCTTCCTTACACCTTATACAAAAATTAATTTGAGATGGATTAAAGACTTAAATGTTAGACCTGAAACCGTAAAAACCCTAGAAGAAAACCTAGGTAATACCATTCAGGACATAGGCATGGGCAAGGACTTCATGTCTAAAACACCAAAAGCAATGGCAACAAAAGCCAAAATTGACATATGGGATCTAATTAAACTAAAGAGCTTCTGCACAGCAAAAGAAACTACCATCAGACTGAACAGGCAACCTACAGAATGGGAGAAAATTTTTGCAATCTACTCATCTGACCAAGGGCTAATATCCAGAATCTACAATGAACTCAAACAAATTACAAGAAAAAAACAAACAACCCCATCAAAAAGTGGGCAAAGGATATGAACAGACACTTCTCAAAAGAAGACATTTATGCAGCCAAAAAACACATGAAAAAATGCTCAACATCACTGGCCATCAGAGAAATGCAAATCAAAACCACAATGAGATACCATCTCACACCAGTTAGAATGGCAATCATTAAAAAGTCAGGAAACAACAGGTGCTGGAGAGGATGTGGAGAAATAGGAACACTTTTACACTGTTGGTGGGATTGTAAACTAGTTCAACCATTGTGGAAGTCAGTGTGGTGATTCCTCAGGGATCTAGAACTAGAAATACCATTTGACCCAGCAATCCCATTACTGGATATATACCCAAAGGATTATAAATCATGCTGCTATAAAGACATATGCACATGTATGTTTATTGCAGCAAATACCATAAGTATGTACAATTATTAAATGTCGATTAATTGTTTTAAAAACAGAGAGAAAAGAGGTTTAATTGACTCACAGTTTTGCATGGCTGAGAAGCCTTAGGAAACTTGGCAAAAGGCACCTCTTCACATGGTGTCAGGAGAGAGAATGAGTGATGAGTGAAGGGGGAAACCCCTTATAAAACTGCCAGACCTCATGAGAACTCACTAACCATCAGAACAGCATGAGTGAAACTGCCCCCATGATTCAATTATCTTCACTTGGTTCCACCCTTGATGTGGGGATTATTACAATTCAAGGTGAGATTTGGGTGGGGACAGAGACAAACCATATCAGCAAATTTTTGTTGTTTTAAGTCAGTAAGTTTGTGGTAATTTCTTATGGCAGCAGTAGAAAAACTGATACAGGGTCCATTGTCCATGACAAGTCATTTTTCTGTTGCTGCTTTCAGGGTTCTTTCTGGGACTCTGTTTTCAGCATTTTTATTATACTGTATCTGAGTGTGATCCTGTAGTTTGTTGAGGTTATTGGATATGTAGATTAACATTTTTCATCCAGCTTGAGAAATTTAAAATTTTTATTTCAAACATTATTTCTTTTAATCGTTTGTTCCTTTCTCTATCCTCTTCTGTGTTCCCATTTTCCATAGTTGGTGCACTTAATGGTATCCCACATTTCTCCAAAGCTCTGTTCATTTTTCTTCATTCTTAATTCTTTCTGTCCTTCATAGGATCTATCTTAAGTTAGCTGATTTTATGCCTGTCAGTCCAAATCTGCTGTTTAGCATGTCTAGTTAATGTTCCATTTCAGTTTTTAGACTTTTTGACTCTTGAATATCTATTTGGCTTTTTTTTTTTTTGGCAGTAGCTTTTCTTTCCTTTTTTAAAAGAGATGTGGTCTGAGCTATGTTGCTCATGTTGGACTCAGATCTGGGCTCAAGCAATCCTCCCACGTCAGCCTTCTGAGTAGTTAAGACTACAGGCCAGGTAAATGCCATTGTGCCCACCATCTGTTCCTTTTTAATAATTTCTATCTCCTTATTGATATTCTCTATTTGATGAGACATTATAACCATACTTTAATTATTTAAGTGTAGTTTCCTTTCATTCTTTGACCATCTTGGCTCAAATACTTTGATGACAATGGCTGCTTTGAAGCCTTTGTCTGCAAAGTCTGGCATTTGGGCTTCTCACAGGCACTGTCTGTTCGTTAAGTGTTTTTGTTTGTTTGTTTGTTTTGTTTTTCTTTCTTTCCTGTGCATGGGTGACCCTTTATTTATTTTTGTTGAATTCTGGGTATTTTGGATAATATATTGAAGCAATTATGGATACTTATCCTCTCTAATTTTCTTGAGCTTGTTGTTGCTTGCTTATTTATTTATTTACTGGCATGGCTGTAATATTTTAGTGAGTTCTTTTTATTACAGCATGAAGCCTCTGATGCTGCTTCTTTGATGCTGCAGCCTTCAGCCCAAACCTGAAACAACAGTGAATTTATCCGGACTTTTTTTGGCTGTCTCTTTCCATAATCTGTTTAACTGTCTCCCTCCATTAGAATCATGACTCAGTTGTTTGCCTCCACTAATTGTTGGATAATTGCTCTATTATTTTTGTTAATGCCCTCAGGCACAAATTACTCCAAAGTCTGATTCAATTAAAGTTGGGCCACTTTGAGGGGTGAGTTTTGAGATGAGTCTTTGTGATGTGTTCTAACCCCAGGAGGGCTCTTTCCATCTCTTTCTCTCCTTGATTCTCTCTGCTAAACTAGCTGGCTTTTGGTTTAGCTTTTTGCTCTCCTGGAGCTACCAGCTTCCTCTAAATTGCTTACTCTACCAAATGTCCATTGTTTTGAGCATACTTTTAGACTTGAAATTACCCACACTCTGTTCCAAATAAAATTGATTCACTTGGGAGATCTTCAAAACTGTCTATTTTTATGGTCTGCCTCCCAATTTGAGCAAAATCTCTGGCCCCAGATCTGGAGGAAGAAGAAAGAACAAGGTCCTGCTTTTCTCAGTGTGGGACCTCTCATTTTTGAGCAGGATGTGAACTCGGGGTAGGAGTTTCTGGTCTTATTTGCTTGCCACTCCCAGTACGGAAGACCTGCCCTATGAGGAAGCTGGGGTTAGGATAACAAACAGCCCACTATGCTTGAGACAGAGCCTGTGCAGGGTCCATGCCAGGTGAAGGAAAGGAGTTTTCAACCTCAGAGCCTTCCTTGTTTAGAATTTAGTTTCTGCCGCACTGAGTTGTGAAGGATGAGAAATTCCAGTGGCATGACACTCCTAGGGAGATGCTAAAGAGAGAATGAGCCCATTTTGACTTGAAGCTGGGAGAAGAGAGACCCATCTCGGCCACATCTGCCAAAATGGACCTTCTATCACCCTGAGACGGAGATTGGGGAGCACAAAAGGAGTAGATGGTGGCTCAAGTGCTACAACCACTCACTGCCTTTACTGAGATTGAGTAGATTTTTTTAAAAATCAGTGTTTCCCCCTTTGCTATATGTCCTTAGGACAATTTCCAGATACTTTAAATGACTGTATCTTTTAAAAAATAATTTTCACCCATTCTGGTGTTTCACTGGTGAATGAATCTATGGAGTTTATCATCACCACTACAGAAATAAAATTGAATGATTAATTATTTTAAATCAGATTTTCCCTTCAAATTGTAGATTAATAGTCTCTCTGAGAAAATTGAGAGTAGGTGATAAAGTTTTGGGGTCAGAAGAGAGCTCAGAAATGGAACGTCAGTATTGAGCTAATTCTGGATGTAAAACCAGTAAAGTCACTTGGTATGTCTAGTCAAAGTAATTTAAGAGATCAGGAAAAAATGTATATAACTAAGATCCTTCTTTTTTTTTTTTTGAGACGGAGCCTCGCTCTGTGGCCCAGGCGGGAGTGCAGTGGCGCAATCTCGGCTCACTGCAAGCTCCGCCTCCCGGGTTCACGCCATTCTCCTGCCTCAGCCTCCCGAGTAGAGTAGCTGGGACTACAGGCGCCCACCATCACGCCCGGCTAATTTTTTTTGTATTTTTAGTAGAGACGGGGTTTCACTGTGTTAGCCAGGATGGTGTCGATCTCCTGACCTCGTGATCCGCCCGCCTCGGCCTCCCAAAGTGCTGGGATTACAAGCGTGAGCCACCGCGCCTGGCCAACTAAGATCCTTCTTAAGGTAACTTTTATTTCAGTGTAGGTCTGGTAGGTCTGGATGATACCAAAATATGTAGGTTTTTTTTTTTTTTTAATGCTTACCTCTATATTTTGACAAAGAACTAGATTTGGTAATTTCTGTCTTAGAAGACCAATGAAAAGTTGATCTGCCCTTAAGTTACAGTCACTGAAAGATTCACTAAAGCCTCTAGAGGAAATGTGGAAAGTTTCAAGTTCCCGTAGCATATGGTGACCTCCTAAATTTGAATGGCTGACCATATTAATGAATCAAACAAACAAGAAAACCCCCAAACAAAACAAACACAAATAAATCAATGATGTGAACAAACAAAACCACTTCTAGCCATCACCTAAAAATAACTAAGCAACAGAGAACAGAGAAGATTTTAAGTCACAGACAAATAGGAAAAGAAACACCTGGAGAGTCAGCTCCAGTGCCTGTTTTTGTCTTTGTTTTTAATTAATTTATTTTTTATTTTATTTATTTATTTATTTTTTAAGAGATGAGGGCTTGCTATGTTGCCCGGGCTGGTCTCAAACTCATGGCCGAAAGCAATCCACCTGCCTTGGCCTCCCAAAGTTCTGAGATCACAAGTGTGAGCCACTGTGCCCGACCAGTGCCAGTTTTAAATAGAGAATTAAGTAGACAACTCATAGAAAAGAAGATTGGGGAACAAGGGTATAGGAATTACAATAAAGAAAAAACTTCCCTGCTTCCCACCAAAAGAACAAAATATCACACAGTGTGGCAAAATACAGAGAAAAATATAATCACGTAATTAAAACATGAGATTTTTCTGCAGTTTATCTATGTTTTATTTCAATGGATCTTTCTATAGAAAATAATTCTAGATTTTGAAATGCATAAAGTATTTATTGTAGTTTAGATTTTAAATGAAAGTTTTATTGTTACATAAATGTGTTATGATGATATATCATATTTCATAACCCAATTGTATGTCCTGAATGAAAACATTCCAAATATTTAATAAATATACTAGGAATATATTGCTGCCAAAGTTTATGTTAACATTCTTCTTTTGGTTCTATTTTCACCTTCCTCTTTTTTTTTTTTTTTGTCTTCGAAAATCACTGTAACTGTTCATGGAACTACAAAATGAGGGAAGATAAAAGGACTATCACAGTATTTAACATTTTTAATTTCTCAAAATCTTTTTAAATAAGTCAGCATGTCTAGTCTAGTAACTGGAAGAAGCCATTTAATAATCAGATTAAAGATGAGACACACTTTAGAAAAATGAATTGACAAGATGAAAAATGAAGGAAGCTATATTTAGGTTTAATTTACTCAATTTTGTTGCATGCCTATGGAGTAGCAAAGACAAATTACAATTTCTAATAAATGGTTGAAAAGTTTAGCATTTTCAAGAAACTATAAGTAATTCTGTGCACCGCATGAACACATATTGAAATGGCAGGTGTTGCGTGGGCAGTGAGTTTTTAGAGCCATAGTAAGTGTGTGAACGTGTGTGTATATGAGAAACAAAGAGAGAAGAATTAATGTCAGTGTCTATCCTATATTAAAATATTAAAAATAGGTAACTTTATTTAAAAATATATTTATAACTAAAAAGACTTTTATGTTTTATTCATGCCAGAATCATCTTTATAGAATATTAAAATAATGCCTGTCTTAAGAAATGAAAATACATTCAATAATTATGCCTAATTTATTTCTGTGATCATATCAATGTTTTAAGAGATGAAATATTTTGTAAATTGCATTTGAAGAATCACATCAAGTGAAAATAAATGATTTTCTACTAACTGGCAAATGTTTATCAAATGATTAATGAGTGCAAATAATTATGGATTTGTCATTATGAAAAATATAACTATATTTTTGGACTATACCTCCCAAACTCTTCAAATATACAATCTAGTCAAAGAGTTGTTACATTAAAGACAAAATAACAAAAGAAAATTTGTCACAATCTAGTCCATGTTTATTTGTTAAATAAATTACTATGGCCTAACAATATGGTTAAAGAATTTTGTATTTTATTCCTAAAAATTAATTGATCTAAGATGACTAAATCCTAATTGAATAAAATTTGTTTTCCCATTGCTATAGGCAAATTGCATACTAATCTTAATGACCAAGGTATTCATAACCAGATATAAGGTTCTCTAATACATGGTACGACCCTAAATTTGTTTAAATATATCTGTTTATTTTTAAGTATAGGATAATCAATAGAATGGGAGAAAGAGAGAGAGATAAACACAGGCTATATATTCTATATCTTGGATAATGTTTTACTCATATGTTCAAAGGAAATTTATACAAATAGTTTCAGTTGAAATGTCTGAATTACTGGTAGCATTAGTATTGCTTTTTATATTAAGCTATTATGTATTTTCCAAATACCCAATGTCTTACTTATATTGATCTCATATTGTGAGAAGAACAATTATTATTAGACAATATAAAACCATATAATGATTAATAAAGGTACAAAGAAAATAATTTAGCTTCAAAAAATATATATGTATTTACCAAAATTATCTTCATTTAACCATAAATAGCATCTTCTCTATGTCTCCCTACCCAATCTCTCTCTCTCTTTCTCTCTCTCTAGCAACTTCAAGTTAGAAAGTGTGGCATGCAATGATTTAAACTTTACATAATGACCGTAACTACAATTTGGCAGTTTGGAGAATGTATTAAATAGAGACACAGAAACTCTTATACGAGAATGTAACAAGAATCCAAGTAAGAAATGATAGTGACCTGATTTTGAAAATTATTAGTAGAGAGGGATAGATGTACCATAGATGGTTTTAGGAGTTATTTAGAAGAAATTGTAGATAGAAAATTATGATTATGCAGTTTCAGAGTGTAAAGAAAAAAGAAAATATATTGCTGTAGTTTCATAATTAGGAACAAAGAGAAAATGATAAAATTTGCTAAGATAGAAAACAGTGGTCAAAGTTGGAAGTAAGGTCATCTTTGAAAATTTAACTATGAAGTTTCTACAGCTGAAATAGGACAGATATTCAGGATAAATTTAGATGTACAGGTTTTATTTGAAAGTCATCAACATATGATGTATTTTAATTATCCTAGGTAGTAGACAGAATGAACCTGACAAAATGTGTAGAGTGATCAGAAAATAAGAGTCAGAAACAGGCTCTGTAAAAGCAAAACATTTAATAAATAGAATTAAAGCATATCAAAGCAATTAATGTTACAATAAGCAGAAGTAGCCAACTTCCGTTTTTTCATAGTAAATTTGTAAAGTATTTCCATTTCAATGCTAGAGCAAATTGACATTAATACAAGTACTGAGATATGAAGATTGGCTCAATAACAATGATATGAACTGAATTGCATTCCTTTTCCAAATTTAAATGTGGAAGCTATAATTCCCTATGTGACTGTATTTGGAGATAGGGTTTTTAAAGAGGTAATTATGGTTAAATAGATCATAAGGGTGACCTCATAGTGCTAAATGAGGTCATAAGGGCTCTAATCTGATATAGCTAGAATCAGATATGAGATCCTTTATGAGAAAAAGAGACACTAGAGATCTCTGTCATTCTGCACATGCACAGAGAAAAGGGCATATGAGGACACAACCAGAAGGTGGCCATCTAAAAGCCAAGAAGAGAGGCTTTACGGGAAACCAACACTAACAGCACCCTGATCTTGTACTCACAGCGTCAAAAATCATGAGAAAATAAATTTCTGTTGTTTGAGACACCCAGACTCTGGTATTTTGTTATGATTGCCCTAACAGACAAGATTTTGGTACCAAAAGGTAGGGTGATGCTGTAACAAATAGTGAAAAATGTGAAAGTAGCTTTGGAACTAGGTGATGGTTGGAGGTGCAAGAGTTTTGAAGTGCCTGCTGAAAAAGCTTAGACTGCCTTGAAGGGACTCTTGGTAGAAATATGAATACTAAAGGTGATATTGGTGAGGTCTCAGACAAAAATGAGGTACTTATTATTGAAAAGCGGAGGAAAGGTGTCTTAGTTTATTTTCTGTGCAATAATAGAATACCATAAACTGAGTAATTTATAAAGAAAAGAAATATATTTCTTGCAGTTCTGAATGCTGGAAAGCCCAAGCGCATGGCAGTACCATTTCATGAGGGCTTTCTTGCTGTGTTATTTCATGGTGGAAGAACACAAAAGTAAGTGAAGCATGTGAAAAAGACCTCAAGAGCAAGTTAAGTTTGCTTTCATAATAACCTGCTATCTTGAGAACCAACTCACTCTTGTGAGAACTAGTTCACCCCTGCAAAAACTAACTCACTCCTACAATAATGACATTAATAAATTAATCAGTGCTCTACCTTCAATGACCCAGTCACCTTTTAAAGGCCCCAACTATTAATACTGCTACATTGGCAGTTAAATTTCCAACACGTGAACTTTAGGGGGATACATTCAAATCATAATCAAAGGTGATTCTTAATATAAAGTGGTAACAAACTTAGCTGAAGTATGTTCTAGTGCTTTTTGGAAAGTATATTTGCAAATAAAGACATTGAGTATTTAGCAAAGTAGATTTCTAAGCTTCTAAGGGTGAAGAATGAACCTCGCTTCTTCTTATTGCTTGTGATAAAATGTGAGAGCAGGGAGATAAATTGAATGAATTGACCAAAAAGAATATTAGGATTTAAAAAGTACTGCCTGTCCTAATTGCAAAAAAAAAAGAAAAAAGAAAAAGAAAAAAGAAAGCCTGTTCTAGAGAGAACACCGGACAATTACTTCACAAAGAGATTATACATCTAGTTAATCAGCCACCTCAGCAGAAAACAAGAATACAGAGAGGAGTATGCAAATAGGAACATTGCCAGTCTGGACTAAAGTGAACAGAGATTGGATAAAATAAATATAAGTTTTCTAACTTCTGGGATTCTACAGGACAGGATGATACAGCTTTTTAGCTGTGAATTTGCTTCTGCCTTCAAGAAATGGGAGGAGTAACTCTCAAGATGGCTCAGAAATAATTAGGGCAGACACTCCCCTCAACGGGGCTAGAAGGCAAGGTTGTTTCATTCTTGTTTTCAGAGGATAGGGCCATCTCTTTTGTTTCAATGGGTCAGGCTGTCTTTGCTCAGAGCCTCAGAGATGGGGGTCTCTGCATAAAGCTGTGGGGATGAGGCCACACCAAAGAGCCAGGGGGTGGAGTCACCATCCTGAGCTGACAGGCAGGGCCACCAGTGTCCTGAAGATTTTGCAATGTAGTAGTTTCATAGTTTATAGTAATTTCATAGTTTGAGGTCTTAGATTTAAGTCTGTAATTCATTGTGATTTGATTTTTGTGTTAGGCAAGAGAGAGGAGACAAGTTTTATTCTTCTGCATATGGATATCCAGTTTCCCCGACACCATTTGTTGAGGAGACGATGTTTTCACCAATGTGTGTTCTTGACATTTTTGTTAAAAATGAACTCACTGTAGGTTTGTGGAGATTTAACTGCCAATGTAGCAGCATTTCTGTGTTCTCTATTCTGTTCCATTGGTCTATGTGTCTGGTTTTATGCCACTACCATGATGTTTTGGTTGTTTTAGTTCTGTAGTACAATCTGAAATTAGGTAGTGTGATTCTTTCAGTTTTTGTTGTTGTTATTGTTGTTCTTGTTCTTGTGGTGGTTATTTAGGATAGCTTTGGCTATTCTGGGAATTTTGTAGTTCCACAAATTTTTGGATTGTTTCTTCTATTTCTGTAAAGAATGTCATTAGTATTTTGACAGGAATTGCACTGAATCAGTTTATTATTTTGCATTTAATCTGTATGACTATTTAACAATATTGATTCTTTTCATCCATGAACATGAAATATCTTTTGATTTTTTGGTGTCCTCTTCCGTTTATTTCATCAGTGTTTTATAGTTTTTATTATAGAGATCTTTCACTTCTTCAGTTAAGTTTATTCCTAGGTATTTAATATTATTTGTGGCTATTGTAGGTGGGATTACTTTTTATTTATTTTTCAGAATGTTCACTGCTAGCAAACAGAAATGCTACTGATTTTTGTATGTTGATTTTGTTTCCTGCAACTTTACTGAATCATCAGTTCTAACAGATTTTTGTGGAGTCTTTAGGTTTTTCCAAATATAAAATTATACCATCTATATAAACAAGCATAATTTGACCTCTTTCTTTAATTTTGGATGCCCTTTATTTTTTCCTCTTGTCTGATTGCTCTAGCTAGGACTTCCATTACTATGTTGAATATCAGTGGTGAAAGTGGGCATCATTGTTGTGTTTCAGATCTTAGAGGAAGGGCTTTCAGATTTTCTCCATTTAGTATGATACTAAATGTGCGTCTAACATTTAGGGCTTTTATTATTTTGAGGTTTGTTCCTTCTATACCTAGTTGTTTCAGAAGATTTTTCTCATGAAGCAATATTGAATTTTATCAAATGCATTTTCAACATTAGTTGAACTTATCATATAGATTTTTTCCTTCATTCTGTTGATATGATGTATCGCATCCACTGATTTGCATATGTTGACCCATCCTTGCATCCCTGAGATAAATCTCAATTGGCCTTGATGAATTAGCTTTCTAGTTTATTGTTCTATTTAGTTTGCTGGTATCTTATTGTGGATTTTTGCATCAATATTTAATTGATATATTGACCTATACTTTTTTTATGTGTCTTTGTCTGGTTTTGGTGTCAGGTTAATACTGGTCTTGTAGAATTAATTTAAAAGTATTTTTTCCTCCTCTTATTTTTCAAAGTAGTATGAGTAGAATTGGTATAAGTTCTTTCTTTTTTTCTTTTGTTGTTGTTTTAAAAGGCACTTTTTTGTTTTCTTTTAGTTTCTTTTTTTTTAACTTTTAAATTCAGGGGTACAGGTATGGGTTTGTTATATAAGTAAATTAGGTGTCAGGCAGGGGTTGGAGTACAGATTATTTCACCATATAAGTAATAAGCATAGTATCTGATAGGCAGTTTTTTGATCCTCACTCTCCTCCCTCCCTCCACCCTAAAGTAGGTCCTGGTATCTGTTTTTCTCTTCTTTGTGTCCATAGGTACTCAATTTTTAACTTCCGCTTATAAGTGGGAATATGTGGTATTTGGTTTTCTGTTCCTGTGTTAGTTCATTTAGGATAATGTCCTCTAGCTCCATCTATGTTGCTTCAAAGAACATGACCTTATTATTTTTATGGCTGCATGGTATTCCATGGTTTATATGTTCCACATTTTTTATATCCAGTCTACCATTGATGGGCATTTAGGTTGGTTACATATGTTCGCTATTGTGAATAGTGCTGCAATGAACATTCATGTGTATGTGTCTTTATGGTAAAATGATTTATATTCTTTGGCTATATACCCAATAATGGAATTGCTGTGCAGAATGACAATTCTACTTTGAAATCTTTCAGAAACTGCTGAACTGCTTTTTACAATGAGTGAACTAATTTATATTCCCACCAACATTTTATAAGCATTCCCTTTTCTCCACAACACACCAGCATCTGTTATTTTTTGACTTTCTATTAATAGCCATTCTGACCATTGAGAGATGATATCTCATTGTGGTTTTGATTTGTGTTTCTCTAATGATAATAAGTATTTTTTCATATGCTTATTGGTTGCATGTATGTCTTCTTTTGAATATTATCTGATCATATCCTTTGCTCACTTTTTATTGTTTTTTTTTTGTTTTTGCTTTCATATTTAAGTTCCTTATAGATTCTATATGTGAGGGCTTTGTCAGTTACATAGTTTGCAAATACTTTCTCCCATTCTCTAGAATTTCTGTTTAGTCTGTTGATAGTTTGCTTGCTTTGCAGTAGGCCCCATTTTTCAATTTTTATTTTTACTGCAATCGCTTTTGGTGTCTTTGTCATGAAATCTTTGCCAGGTCCTATATCCAGAATGGTATTTCCTAGGTTATCTTCCAGGGTTTTTATAGTTTTAGGTTTTACATTGAAGTATTTAATGCATCTTGAGTTGATATTTGTATATGGTGTAAAAAAGGAGTCCAGTTTCAATCTTCTTCATGTGGCTAGCCAGTTATTCCTTAGTTCTTCTTTAAAAGTTTGATAGAATTCAGCAGTGAAGCAATTAGGTCCTGGGCTTTTCATTACTGGGAGACTTTATATTATAGTTTCAATCTTGTTACTAGTTATTGACCTGCTTAGGTTTTCCATGTCTTCATATTTCAATCTTGGTAGGTTGTATGTATCTAGGAATTTATCCATTTCCTCTAGATTTTCCAATTTATTGGCATATATTTGCTCATTGTAGCTACTAATAATCCTTTGAATTTCTGTGATGTCAGTTTTAATGTCTCTTTCATCTGTAATTTTATTTATTTATTTTTCTTTATTAATCTGACTAAAGGTTTTCCATTTTGTCTTTTCAAAAAACCAATTTTTTTGTTTCATTGCTATGTCTATTGTTTTCTTCATTTCAAATTCATTTATTTCTGCTCCAATATTTATTATTTATTTCCTTCTACTAATTTTGGGTTTGGTGTCCTCTTGCTTTTCTAATTCTTTAAGATCCGTTCTTAGGCTATTCATTTGAAGTTTTTCTTCTTTTTGATGTAGTCACTTCTAGCTGTTAATTTCACTCAGTACTGCTTTTTCTCAGTACAGGTTTTGATATGTTATGTTTCCATTATCATTTATTTCCAGAAATTTTTCAATTTCCTTCTTAATTTATTCATTTACCCACTGGTCATTCAGGAGCATACTGTTTAATTTCCATGTATGTGTATAGTTTCCAAAATTATTCTTCTTATTGATTTCTCATTTTATTTTACTGTGGTTAGAGAAGATGCTTGATATTATTTCAATTTATTTCAATGTTTTAACACTTGTTTTATGACCTAACATATGGTCTATCCTTGAGAATACATCAATGTGAAAAAGAGAAGAATATTTATTCTGTAGCCTTTGGATGAAATGTTCTGTAAACATCTAATAGGTCCATTTATTCTATAGTGCAGATTAAGTCTGACATTTGTTTGTGGATTTTCTGTCTGAATGATCTGCCCAATGCTGAAAGTGAGGTGTTGAAGTCTCTAGCTATTATTTTAATGAGGTCTGTCTATCTTTTTAGCTCTAGTGATATATACTTTATATATTTGGGTGCTCAAGTGTTGGGTGCATGTATATTTACAATTGTTATAACCTTTTGCTGAATTGACCACTTTATCATTATATAATAATCTTTGTCTCTTCTTACAGTTTTTGTCTTGAAATCTGTTTTGTCTAAATATAGCTACTCCTGCTCATTTTTGGTTTTCGTCAGTATGGAATATCTTGTTTTCATCCCTTTATTCTAATTCTATGTGTTTCTTTATAGATGAAGCGTATTTTTTGTAGGCAACAGATCATTGAGTCTTGTTTCTTCATTCAGCCACTGTATATCCTTTGATTGGGAAGTTTAACTCATTTGCATTAAATGTCACTATTGGTAAGTAGGGACTTACTCCTACCATTTTGTTATTTGTTTTCTGATTGCTTTGCAGTATTCTCTTCCTTCTTTCTATCATTCTTGTATGATTTTCTCTGATGGTAGAGTTTAATTTCTCACTTTTATTTTGTGTTTATTAGTTGTATGTTTTTCAATTTGAGGCTACCATGAGGCTTGCAAATACTGTCTTATAACCCACTATTTTAAACTAATGACAACACTAATTGCATAAAGAAACAAACTTACACAAAGAAAACTAGTAAAAACTATACATTTTAACTTCATTTCCCATTTTTTAACTTTTTCTTGTTTCTCTTTGTGTTTTATTGTACTGCCTATGTCTTGAAAAGTTGTTATAGTCATTTGTTTTTGATTGGTTCCTCATTTAGTGTTTCTATTTAAGACAACAGTAGTTTATACATCATAATTACAGTGTTATAATATTCTGTATTTTTCTGTGTGTTTACTATTACCAATAAGTTTTGTACCTCCAGATGATTTCTTTGTGTTCATTAACATCTTTTCTTTCAGATTGAAGAACTCCCTTTAGCATATTTTGTAGAACAAGTCTGGTATTGATGAAATACCTTGGCTTTTGTTTCTCTGGGAAGTTCTTTATTTCTCCTTCATGTTTAAAGTATATTTTCACCAAATATACTATTCTAGGGTAAAAGTCTTTTCCTTCCATGCTTTAAATATGTCATGCCACTGTCTTCTAGCCTGTGAGATTTCCACTGAAACATCTGCTGCCAGGCCTGTTGGAGGTCAGTGTTATGTTATTAATTTCTTTTCTCCTGCTATTTTTGGGTCCTTTATTTATCCTTGATTTTTGGCAATTTATTTGTTAAATATCTTGGTGTAGTGTGTAGCTTTCTTAGGGTTAAATCTGCTTGGTGTTCTATAGCCTTCTTGTATTTGAAAAAATATATATTATATATATTATATATAATATATTTTATACATGTTATATGTATATATATATATATATATATATATATATATATATGCACACACACATAGATATTTTCCTTTGAATGAACTGTGAATAAACTTTCTACACCATCTCTTTATCTGCCTTCTCTCTATGGCAATAACTCTTAGATTTGCCTATTTTTTTTTTTTTTTTGCTATTTTCTAGATCTTGTAGCATGCTTAATTCTTTTTTGTTCTTTTTTCTTTGGTCTCCTGTGGCTGTGTATTTTCAAATAGCCTGTGTTCAACTCAAGCTCACTAATTATTTCTTCTGTTTGATCAATTCTGCTATTAAGAAATTCTGACACATTCTTCAGTATGTCAATTTCATTTTTCAACTCTAGAATTTATGCTTGATTCTTCTTAAGTGTTTTAATCAGGTTGTTAAATTTATCAGATCTGAATTTCTTCTCTGTGTTATTGATACGGTTTGGCTGTGTCCCCACCCAAATCTCACCTTGAATTGTAATAATCCACATGTGTCAAGGGCAAGGCCAGTTGGAGATAATTGAATCCTGAGAGTGGTTTCTCCTATACTGTTCTTGTGATAGTGAATAAGTCTCACAAGATCTGATGATTTTACAAATGGGAGTTTCCGTGAACAAGCTCTCTTGCCACTGCCATGTAGGATATGACTTTGCTCCTCATTTGCCTTCCACCATGATTGTGAGGCCTCCCTAACCACGTGGAACTGTGAGTCAAATTAGACCTCTTTCTTTTATAAATTACCCAGTCTTATGTATGTCTTTATTAGCAGTGTGAGAACAGACTAATACAGTAAATTGGTATTGGGTAGTGGGGTGCTGCTCTAAAGATAGACCAAAATGTGAAAGCAACTTTGGAACTGGGAAACAGGCAGAGGCTGGAACACTTTGGAGAGTCTGGAAGAGGACAGAAAGATGTGGGAAAGTTTGGAACTTCCTAGAGACTTGTTGAATGGCTTTCACCCAAATGCTGATTGTGATATCAACAATAAGGTCCAGGCTGAGGTGGTCTCAGATGGAGATGAGGAACTTGTTGGTAACTGAAGCAAAGGTGACTTTTGCTGTGATACAGTAAAAAGGCTGGTGGCATTCTGCCCATGTGCTAGAGATTTGTGGAACTTTGAACTTGAGAGATATGATTTAGGGCACCTGGCAGAAGAAATTTTAAGCATCAAAACATTCAAGAGGTTACTTGAGTTCTGTTAAAAGTATTCAGTTTTATGTATTCACAAAGATATGGTTTGGAATTTGAACTTATGTTTAAAAGGAAAGCAGAGCATGAAAGTTTAAAAAATTTGCAGCCTGATGACATAATAGAAAAGAAAAACCCATTTTCTCAGGAGAAATACAAGCCGGCTGCAGAAATTTGCATGAGTAACAAGGAGCCAAATGTTAATTGTGAAGAAAATGGGAAAATATCGCCAGGGCTTTTCAGAGACCTTTGCAGCAGCCCCTCCCTTCACAGATCAGAGGCCTAGGAGGAAAAAATGGTATTGTGGGCCAGGCCCAGGGTCCCCCTGTTGTGTGAAGCCTAGGGACTTGGTGCCCTGCATCCCAGCTGCTCTAGCCATGGCTAAAAGGGGCCAAGGTACAGCTTGGTCTGTGCCTTCAGAGGGTGGAAGCCCCCAGCCTTGGCAGTTTCATGTGGTGTTGGGCCTGTGGGTGCACAGAAGTCAAGAACTTGGGTTTGGGAACCCCTGCGTAGATTTCAAAGAATGTATGGAAACATGTAGATGTCCAAGCAGAAGTCTGCTTCAAGGTTGGAGCCCTCATGGAGAACCTCTGCTAGGGCAGTGCAGAAGGGAAATGTGGGTTTGGAGCCCCCACACAGAGTCCCCACTGGGCACTGCCTAGTGGAGCTGTGAGAAGAGGGCCACTATCCTCCCGACCCCAGAATGGTAGATCCACTGACAGCTTGTACCATGTGCTTGGAAAAGCCACAGACACTTAATGCCAGCCCATAAAAGCAGCTGGGAGGAGGTCTGTACCCTGGAAAGCCACAGAGGCAGAACTGTGCAAGGCTGTGGGAGCCCATCTCTTGCCATCAGTGTGACGTGGGTGTGAGACATGAAGTCAAAAAAGATTTTGGATCTTTAAGATTTGACTGCCCCATTGGATTTTGGACTTGCATGGGGCCTGTAGCCCTTTCCTTTGGCCAATGTCTCCCACTTGGAATGTGTGTATTTACCCAGTGCTTGTACCCCCATTGTATCTAGGAAATAACTAACTTGCTTTTGACTTTACAGGCTTATAGGCAGATGGGACTTGCCTTTTCTCAGATGATACCTTGGACTATGAACTTTTGACTTAATGCTAAAATGAGTTAAGACTTTGGGGGACTTTTGGGAAAGCATGATTTGTTTTGAAATGTGAGGACATGAGATTTGGAAGGGGCTAAGGTAGAATGGTATTGTTTGGCTGTGTCCCCACTCAAATCTCACCTTGAACTATAATAATACCCATGTGTCAAGGGCAGGGTCAGGTGGAGATAACTGAATCGTGGGGGTGGTTTTCCTCTCTACTGTTGTTGTGGTAGTTAATAAGTCTCAAAAGATCTGATGGTTTTATAAATGTGAATTTCCCTGCACAAGCTCTCTTGCCTGCCACCACATAAGGCATGACTTTCCTCCTCTTTCACCTTCCACCATAATTGTGAGGCCTCCCCAGCCATGTGGATCTGTGAATCAATTAAACCTCTATCCTTAATAAATCACCCAATCTTGGGTGTGTCTTTATTAGTAGCATGAGAACAGACTAATCCAGTTATCTTGAATTTCTTTGAGATTCCTCGAAACAGCTAATTTTGAATTATCTGTCTGAAAAGTTACAGATCTCTTTCTCCAGGTTTGGTTCCTGGTGCCTTATTTAGTTCATTTGGTGAGGTAATGTTTTCTTGAATAGTCTTGATGCTTGTAGTTGTTTGTTAGTGACTAGGCATTGAAGAGTTATGTACTTACTGTCTTCACAGTGTGGACTTGTTTGTGGAAGGCTTTCCAGTTTCTGAAAAGGACTTGGGCCCCAAACCCAATAACTCTGTGTTTTCTGCAGATTTGTAGAGGTACCACTTTGGTGGTCTTGGATAAGATCTGGAAGAATATTCTAAATTACCAGACAGAGACTTTTTATTTTTCTTGCTTTTTCCCAAACAAATGGAGTATCTCTCTCTCTGTGCTGAGCCACCTGGAACTGGGGTTGTGGAGATGCAAACACACCTTTGATCACCACCACTGGGTCATACTTAAAGCCAGCACAGCACTGGATCTTGCCCCTGGCTAACATCTATTTTCCCTTAAGGCCCAAGGACTATATAATCAGCAGGTTGTGAAGCCATCTAGGTTTGTGTTCTCTTCAAGACAAGAAGTTACCCAGGCCCTATGTACATATAGAGATGCTGTCTGGGAGCCAGGGATCAGAGTAAAAAACCTTAGAAATTTATTGAAGTTCTATTCTACCATGGCTAAGCTGACACTCAAACTACAATGCAAAATCCTTCTCACTCTTTCCTCCTCTTTTTCCAAGCAGAGCAGCCTTTCCTTATAACCACCACCAACAACAACCAACAGGGGGTTCTGGCAGGCCATTGCCAATGTTCACTTAAAGCCCAAAGGCTCTTCAGTTTTTCTCACACAGAAGGAGTCTCTTCCTATAGCCACCGTAGCTGGGAATGTGCTGAGTCACACCTGAAGCCAGTATGTCTCAGAGCCTAAGGCCCCCAGCACACTACCTGGGTATTGCCACTGGTCATTTGGTGCCCACGGGCTCTTTTGTCAGCAGTTAATAAATCCTGCCAGGACTGAGTACTTCCCTTCAAGGAAGCAGGTTCCCTTTTGGCCCAATTATGTCTGGAAATGTAGTCTGTGAGGTTGGACCTGAAATGGACCTCACAACTTTGCCCAGTGCCCTATCCTCCTGTGGCTAAGCTGGTATCCAAGATGCAAGACAAAGTCCTCTTTACTCTTCACTCTCTTCTCCCTAAGCAGAAGGATGGAGTCCCTTTTGTTGTTGTGAGCTGTGCTGCCTGGGATTGCATTAGGGGTGGTCTAAGCACTCCCTTAGCTGTTCCGGCTTGTGTCTCCCAAGGTCACATGCTGCCCAGTTCTCTGGCTCTGAGCCAAGCCCAGCATGAGCAATTGCATAGGAATTTCAGTCCTAATGTCTTAGACTGCCTTTCAAGTTTACCTGGGGCCCCAGAGCACTTTGGCCCATGGTGATTAAATCTTGCTGAGTAACTGAAGTTCTGACCACTGGGATGGTATATTCCCTTCTGACTAGGTCTGGTCCAAGTGCTCCCTCCATGCATGCATCCTGGCTGACCCTAGTATAACTTTGCCCTCCACTGGGACAGGATGAATTCAATGCGACGTCCCACAGTTGCTATGCACTTTGTCCTCCAAGTGCATAGGCTCTCTCTTGATGGCTCACAGCCACTGCCAAAGGACAATGAAGGGGTGGAATTGGTGATTTTATACTGTCTATCCTGTCCTCCTTAATGCTTCTTTCAGTGATATGAAGTTAAAACCAGATACTGTGATTTTGGTTTTTGTGATGGTGCTTATTTGTGTGCAGGTAGTTGTTAAAATTTGGTGTCCCTGCAGGGCAGATGAATAGTGTAGGCCTCTATTTCACAACCTTGCTCTATCCTCTAGATGACATTTAGATGAGACTTTGAACTTTAGACTTTAGAGATGATGCTAAAAATGAGTTAAGATTGTGGAGGCTGTTGAGTTGTCATGAATGTATGTTTTGTGCAAAAATGACATTAATTTTGGGGAGCTGGAAGGCAGAATGATATGGACTGAATTGTGTCCCCCTCCCTCAAAATAGTATGTTAAAGCCTTAAGTTTCAAAGTGACCCCTTTGAGATAAGTTTTTTAAGGAGGTAATTAAGGTAAAATGAGGTTATAACAGTGTGGTCCTAAAGCAATATTGGTATTCTTATAAGAAGAAGATACACAGGAGTCCTGTTTATCTCCACTAGTACACAAAGGAAAGGTCATGTAAGGACACAATGAGGCATCTGGACATAAGCCAAGAAGAAAGGTCTCACCAAAAACCAACATTGATGACACCTTGATTTTGGATGTATAGCCTCCACAACTGTAAGAAAATTTATTTCTGTTATTTAAGCCACCTAGACTATTGTATTTTATCATGGCAGTCCTAGCAAACTAATACAATCAATAAGCGGGTTGATAAAATTGTTAAAAGTATAGTATGAATTTCTTTCCTTTTGATGTAAAGTGTTTCTACTTTCTATTCAATGTCCTTCAATGTCTTCTTACTCCCATTGCAGCTATGACAAACATTCTTTGCAGCTATGTAATTCTCTCCACATTCTTACTCCTTTTGTCAATAATTCCTAAAGTCTGAAACACAAAATGTATAGTTGTTTGTGTGAGCACAAGTGAATTAAACCAGGCAATTTATTGCAGTGATTTTTAATCAACTTTTAAAAAGCATAAACTGAATACAATAAAACAAGCCCATTTAAAGTGTACATTTCAATGATTTTCATCATTACCACCCATGTGAAAAAATCAGGAAAGTGTGACTCAGAACTCATAATCAAATAAACAAATACCCTGTAATGATAGAGATTATTAAATTACAAGGCAAGGGTGTGGCAATAGCTATTATAGATATGTCAAATAATTAATGAGAACATGAATATAAAGATAAGTGAAAGAAACTATTAAAAAATGAATAGAATTTCAGGATTTGAGAATACATACGTGAAATGAAATTTCACTGAATATATTTAAAGATTCCATACAGAAGAATAGGTCAGTAAACTTGAAGACAGGAAAATAGAATTTATCAAAATTGACGTACAGTGAAAACAAGAGAAAAACAAACAACAACAATAACGACAAAAACAGAGTTGTAATGACCTAGCTATTGATATCAAGGAGTCTGATATGTATGTAATTGTAATCTCAGAAAGAGGAGAAGCAACAGAAGTACAAGAAATAATGACTCCAAATTTCCAAAATTTGAACAGAAGTTTAAGCTCAGACTCCATGTGATCTATCAGCACAAAGAAATCAATATCAACATAACAAAATCAAATTTATGAAAACAATGATAAAGAGAAAACCTTCGAAACAGCCAGAGGAAAAAATATGCACAGAAAACAATGATAAGAATGCCCATGAGATTCTCATCAGAAACAACAGAAGCCAATATAACATGGAATGACATCTTGAAAATGGTGAAAAGAAAACAACTTTTAATCCAGAATCTATATTCAGCAAAAATATATTTCAAAAATAAATGCAAAATTACAACAAAGAAGCAATTAACTGGTGTTTCTGGGCATGATGGTGTTTATGTCAGAATACTTTAATGAAGTTAAACACATTGGACCATACTCTAGGGGGCTTATTAATCATAGTAAAGTAGGCTTGTTTAGTGAAATAAAATTGCATGTCCGAAGATGTGGCTTCTTGCTCACTACATTCACTAGCAACCTTGGCTAAATTACTATGTATCTAAGCGAAATATTCATGTTCAGTAAGTTGAGCCTAAACAAATTTTTCCAAAACAATATCCTAGGAAAGACTAGTTCCATGATATGATTAATAAAAACAGGATTTCATAATGAAATAATGCTTACAATGCTGATTATAAATATGAATGCATCACAGCCTCTGAGAACTAAAATAAAGATATTTGCTAGCACATATTTAACAAAAAAAATTGGGTAGTAATATATTATTTCCAGGTAAACATTTATTATCAGTTTTTATTTCTTTAAGGAAATATTTCTACTTACATTTCAAGTTTCAAATTTAATACTTCAAGAAGCTCAATATACTATTATATCCCAAATGGCATAATGGTTTGCAAATTTATAATTATTATAATTCTAGGGGCCTTAACCAATTTATTTATTGTCTTTATATATATGAACTATATCAAATAACACACAGGAATGCATACTTTTTTATCAAACACCGATGTTACATCTCTGAAAAATTACATATATGGGGAGAATTATAAGGTAATATATTAGTTTAATAGTATCTGTTTTCTATTGTTACTGTAGCAAATTACCCAAAACTTACTGGTTTAAAACAATACAACTTTAGTATCTTTCTGGATATCTGAGCTAGTTCTTATGGGGCTAAAATCCTAATGTTGGTAGGGCTGCATTCCTTTCTGTGAGTTCTAGGGAAGAATTCATTTTCTTGTTTTTTCCACCTTAACAGCATGTTCAAAGCCAGCTGTGTAAAACCATAAATTTTTTCTCTCTATGATACTCCTGCATTTCTCTTTTTCTTTTAGAAGGAGCCTTTTGAACAATAACACTGGGGCCTATTTGAGGGTGGAGGGTAGGAGGAAGGTGAGGATTAAAAACTACCTATCTGTCGGGTATTAGGCTTATTACCTCGGTGACAAAATTATCTGCACACCAAATCCTCACAGCATGCAATTTACCCGTGTAACAAATCTGCAAATGTACCCCTTAAACCTAAAATAAACATTGGAAAGAAAAAATTAATAAAGATCTTTTTGATTATATTCGTCATCTACATAATCCAAAATAATCTCTTCATCTCAACATCCTTAATTTATTTACATCAGCGAATTCTCCTTTGCCAGGTAAGGTAACATATTCCCAGTTCCCTAAGCATTAGGACTGAATATCTTTGGTAGGGTGATTTTCTGACTACCACATTAACTAATAGTAATTTAGTATTTACTGATGTCAGGTACTGTCCAGGCATCTTCCCTCCTGCGAAGTGATCATCAGTGACACATCTGTGAACAAGATATACACTTCTGCCTTTGTAGAGCTTACAGTCTAGCAAAAGGAGACAGATGATAAGCAGTAAATGTAATAAATATTTTATATTGTTTTAAAAGGAGATGAGTGCTACTGCAAAAAAGAACAGAGTAAAGTGAAACATGATTGGGTTAGACAGAACTGGCGATTTATATGTGGTGGTCAAGGTAAAGCATGCTGAAAAGGTAATGTGGCCAATTTTATACAGACATCTGGAAAATAAAAACCATCTCAGGTATAGAGAATATCTGGTTTGATTGTCCTGAGATAGAGCAGTGGCAGGCCTTCTGTGATGAGAAAGAACAAAGGGACTGGTGTGGTCAAACTGCAGTGAGAGAAGCATGGCTTGGGACAGCAGGAGAGCAATAGCAGATGAGGTCAGAGAAGTAATAGAAAGGGGAAAAACAAAAATATAGGACCTTGTTAGCATTCACAAGGACTTTGACTTGCCTATGCATGAAACAGAAAGTTTCATAGGGTTTTCAGAAATAAGCAAAATGATTTGATTCATGTTTTGAAATATCACTTTCACACATGTTGGCAATGACTGTAGAGGGGGCAAGATTGAATAAGAGATCTAGTTAAGTGGCTATGGCAGTTATCTAAGCAAACTTTTAGTGGTGTTTAGGGCAAGAGGTAGCAGTATACATGATGGCAAGTGACTAAAATTGAGAAATTTTGAAGGCAAACCAATAAAATTTTTTGAAAGAATGAATGTGGCATGCGAGAACAACAAAGGCAACAAAATAGAAATAGAGTGACTCCGGCCATTTGGCTTGAGCAAGTACAATTGCCAGTCACAGAATTCAGAAGGCTAATTGAAAACCAGGTTTGTGGGGAAAGCGGAAGAGTTGAGTTTAAGCATATTTACTGGAGACATCTTTCTACCACTTGGTGGAGTAGAAAGGACAAATTCTGAATGGAGTCAGTTATGAGTGAATGGCAGGAAATAAATTGGAGACAGTAACCATAGACAATTTCCCAGGAGTTTTGCTCCAAGGGGGCAAAGGGGAACAAAGAGATTGCTGAGAAACTGGATCAATAGAGTATTCACTTTTTTTGGCTAGAAAAAATAACAAAATTTTTGTAATTAAATGGAAACAGTCTTATTGATACATACAATTAATGATGAAGGACAGACGAGGCAGAATTGCTAGAGTGATGTCCTGAAGTAGGCGAGAGGGATTGAAATCTGGTACACATATAGAAGTGTTGACTTGAGATAGGATTATGGACAGATCACTTATAATAATATTCAGAAAGAAAGAATTTGTGGACTATTATTTTGCTAGGTGGCCAGATGTGTTTGAATGATTTGTTTTGTCAGTGACATAAAAGCGTTGAGTACAGTTTGTCCATTACACATTCAGATGTCTGGCATCATATAGCTCTAACCAGAGTATGCATATTAAGAACATGAAACGATGCTAATAAAATGACTGTGTCCAGCCATGTGATGTGTAAACCATGTTAATAATTTTGAAGCTCATGTTCCTTGATACAATAAAAAGATCAAAATCCCCCACTTAATATTTGCCAAAGTAATATTAACTTAGTAACACTAATTTTAAAAGATCTATGTTTTTAGCCTCACTCAAATAAAATTGTTTCTGTTGTCTAACAGAGATATCTCCCGTTATTTTGTTACATGCTGTTAAGAATATTTATACTCTCTGGAGGTTAAGAATTTATCAGGATTGTTTACCATAAATTATAGAAGCAGAAAAAGAAATTCTGGAGAAATTAGTAAACAGTAAAAATTAATAAATATATATTTAAAAATACCTTTACCATATATATTTACTATTAATATACATTAGTAAATATATATCTACTATCTTATATATAATGATAAATACATATTTACATATTTACTATAACTAGTAAATATGTAAATATGTATTTACTAATAATATATATAATCCTTTAAGTCACCCTATTTCTATTTTGTTGTCTTTGTTGTTCTCACATGCCGCATACATTCTTTCAAAAAATTTTATTGGTTTGCCTTCAAGATATCTCAATTTTAGTCATTTGTCATCATGTGTACTGGTACCTCTTGCCCCAAACCACCACTAAAAGTTTGCCTAGATAGCTGCCATAGCCACTTAACTAGATCTCTTATCCAATCTTGCCCTGTCGACATTCTCAACTAATAGTAAATACTATTAGTAAATATATATTTATATATATGTATTTACTATTTATATAAATAGTAAATACTATTAGTATGGTAAATGTATATTTATACTAAATAGTAAATATGTATTTATTATTAGATATAATAATAATTACTAATAGTAATAGTAATAAGTAGTAATAATAATAGTAATAATTACTAATAATAAATATATATTTACTATTTGGATATTAGAAATATCAACACCTTGAAGATAAATATCAGCAGTTATAGTCTTTAGCAGAGCATTAATTACCTTTAAACATTTTACTTTTCTTAATATCAATTAATTAATTTAGTTGTAGATTCTCACAATATTTTTCAAAAAGACATTCCCCAAATACCCAATGGCTATTAAAATATTAAGTATTTCAACATGATATTAATTATGTCATACTTTTCATACTAAAATGTTGTTTATAATATTCTAATGATAGATAACTCCTGTGATGAACTTAAATATTTATCTTTCTTTTTCAAAAAAGTGATACATAATCAATGACTGACATTAGTGATAAAAGGAATATTGAAAGAAATGAAAATAATCTAGAATTTAACTAATTTAACTAAGTAGTATAATCCATTAGAAGTCCTCTGTCAATTCCAAATGTAGAGGCACATGAAAAACATTGTTGGGTATGTCTGGCAGACAGCAATAAATATCTAATTGAAGAATGTGAAGGGCTGAGGAAAGAGTAAGATGATAGAGGTGGAAAATTCTCCCTTTGGCAAAACATATATCCACTTTTTACTTTTCTAAAGTATAAATGAAATTGAAAAACAAAAGGAAAAATTATTTCAGAGCATATGTTCTTGAAAGATTAATGCAAATCTAGGAAAGTTCTAGGCCAATTTTGGAGTACATTAAAAAATGATCATGAAAATGAGTGTGTCTTGTAATCTGGATTTCCTAGACTTGGAGGTTTTAAGTGAAATAATTTTTATTCTAAGAAGAAAATATAGTCTTATTATGGTTAAATATAGTACCACAAATATTTACCTAACATTTAGCAGTTAAAATTATGTGTATGCTTTTATATTTGTGTGTGTGTGTGTGTGTGTGTGTGTGTGTGTGTGAGAGAGAGAGAGAGAGAGAGAGAGAAGGAGAGAGAGAGAGAGAGAGAGAGGATGAACCAAAATACTCCAAACTGAAGATTTTCTGACACATGTTTTACCCTTCAAGTAAATTAATTCTAATTGTATAGAGGAATGTTGAACCTGCTGCCTGGCTGATGTTTCTCAAGTTTGAGAAATTGCATCCTGTCCATGTTGGCTAAATAGAAACACATTCGAGTAAAGTAGCATACATGAAAACAGTGCATATAGTTAGAAAGTAATCAGAATCTTACCACCTGTTTAACTATTTCAATGTTTCTTTAAAATTTGAGTTGGTGCTCAGTCCACTAGACGCAACATGCTTTCTACTTGTTGATATGGATGATAGTGTTGAAGTTACTTTTGAAGTCTCCGATTACTTTTGAAAAGCAACTTCATTTTTCCTTGTTTCTTAATCTATTTCTTACACAATTTCTCTTAAATAATCTGTGTTTATTATATATAATATTTTATTTATAATATAAAATGTAATTTTAAAGCGCATAGTTCAATGTTCTCAGGCATTTCTCTTTTGAGACTGTGTAAGTATACCACTGATTTCTGCTGCTTCATTGCTAAGTTTCCCGTGATGAAATCTGTGTTTCCCTTAGCATTTATATTATGGCTACTTAGGTCAGCTGATAAATAAAAGTTTTTTAAAAAATACAGTAAAAGAAAGAATTGAATTATTCGCTCACAAACATGTAAAAAATTATGATTCAAACTTACATTGGAGATTTTTCTAAAAGCAAGTGTATAAACTATGAGTGATTATATTTCAGAGGCAAGTTCTCTGCTCATTGTAGCATCATGTTCTTGAGTAAAGATAAATGAGATCTTGGGAAAAGGTAATTGAAACAGGAGTATGGTGGAGTGGTTTTAATAAATTCTCATCTTTCCTCATGGAAGTTGTCTGCTTGATAATTAAAGCTTAGTGCATTGCCTTAATCTCATCACAAAAATATTGTATATAAATTATATTGTAATGAATTGATATTAGGCAACATAGGCTGCAAAATTAAGTGTAAGGCTTTAACTAAAACAACATTTCCAAACTGTGATGTGCAGGTACATCATTTATGGAAATCATTATGGAAATTTATAAAAAATGTATGCCCTTTCCTTGCTGACTCAGAATCCTTGCTAATGGGACTAATTGTGAAAAAAAATTAACCTGTTTCTAGTATGAGTAAAAAACAAAGTAACATACCAAATTTTAAGAGCAACTAGCTGAAATATTTTTGCTTATTAATAAGATTTAAAAAGTGTAATAAATTTCTATAGAACAAAATTTAACTTTTTTAATTGCTACACTGTCACTGAGTAGTACTAAACATTGAAATTATGGGTTTACTGATAGATGCGTGGTAAAAGGGCAATAAAATGAACCTTTCTGAATGTGGAATGGAATGGATGATTCATTTCTTGAATAAGAATTTGGCCATAATTGAAGTCTTGTAATATTACCCAAAGAAACGAACAATCTCCATCATATTAATATTTTTTTCTGTGCTATATGTCTACTGAGTTTATGATGTAACAGCAAAGAGAAAATGTGTCAATAAATAAGTTGATTTTATTTTTCATTTATACACAGCAACTTAAACGTTTCTAGTACACAGTTCAATATGTACAGTTCCATAAATATTGAAAAATACATAGTGTCATGTAACTAACATTACAATCAGGACACAGAATAATCCCCTCACCACAACTAAATTTTCTTATCCTGTCCCTTTGTAGTCAGATCCCCTGCTTTCCCTAATCCTTGGGAAATAATGATCTATTCTTAGTCGCTATACATTTGCATTTTTCCAGAAGTCATGTATATGGACTCCTATAAGATGTAACTTTTTTTTCCAGCTTCTTTCACTTAGCAAACACCTTTCTAGATGCAGCCATATATTTGACACTCATCCGTTGTTCATTTGATTTTAATTCTGACAGGTATTATATTGTTTAGGTGTGCGAGAATGTTTATTCACTCACCCATTAAAACATATTGGGATGTTTTCAAATTTCAGTTATTAATGAGTAATGTTGATATGTATATTTGTAAGTTTTTGAGATAATTTTTTTTCTCTGATGAAATACTTAGAGCAGGACTGTTAATTCCTATGGTAAGTGTATGCCTGACTTTAAATAAAACAACACACATAGAGTGGAAGAAAGAGAAATTAGACCCTGATGACATAACTTGAGCCCTGAATTTTCTAGAGATTGAAGGATAGTTTACTCTTGGGCTTTTGAGATGGATTTTCTGTCACTTGCAGCCCAAAATTTCCACATACATGACCAAATTCCTCTTGGTGCACAGTTCCTATGGTGCCCAATTTAGTGTTTTTCAAACTTGCATGATGATTAAAATCAGCTAGTGTTTATTAAAAATGAGATTTCCAGATCACTGTCCTGAAAATTGTATTTTATTAAGGTTTCTGATTTTAAAAATGGTCCTGAAATGAATGTTATGATCTAGAAGTTCATATCATCTAGAAGTTCTGTTAGTTCAAGCTAACAATAATAGTGCAATATTTATAATATTAAAAAACTATTAGTATGCTACCATATTCCACTTACTGAATATTATATGATTCGCAAAATTGCTTAGCAAACCAGTATACAGCTACAGAATCATGGAGTGCTACAGATAGAAAAACAGTAGATATAACCTGCTCCAACAGCCCATTCTTTACAATGAGAAATTTGTAGCTGAAAGAAGTCATACACATAAATCCCACAGGGAGTTAGTAGCAGAACAAATACTACAAGATGAGCCTCCTGCTAGTTTCAATTTATCTTGCTACCAAGCTCACATGTCTAAATTAGAAAATTATGAGAAAACATACATAAGTAACAAGATACTGAAAAATCCACCTTTATAAGCCCCAAAGGGCTTATAGCCTGTTCTCAATTCTTAGCATACTTTTTATGAATGGGCACTCATTATTTGATCATTATAACAATAATGAATACTTTACTTTTTAAACAGACTCTAAAAGCTTATCCTAACTCATGCTGTGATTTTGCAATCATAACCTTTAATACTCATATACCAAGTATCTTATTTATAATAGAAAATTGAGAGCTGTTACTGATGAAAGGATTTTGAGGGTAGATAAGTCTTTCTTTTTCTATGAAACATTAACACAAGAAATTGCTTGAAAAATCAGGTGATCCCAAAGCAATAGTCCCAAACAAGAAACTCAAAGGGTTTTACATACCAACTGAGAATTTTTCAAATTTATTTCCCAGTGTTCTGAAAAATTTATATGAAGTAGACTAGCTCCAGAGGTTGCTGATTTAAGGGGTTAATTAACATCACTTGATAGATTTAAGGTCCCAAACTTCTTCACATTATAAAATGAAGCATTATGAACTGAACATCCTCATTATTCTTTCCTCCCCTTGAGTAGTCAAAATTAAACTGATTGCCTTCTATAGCTCAAATTGTTTAAAAAAATATTTCCATTAATGTTGCAGAAAGTGATATTTTAAATAATTTGTTGCCATTTCAAAACTCTAACATTATCCTCACTTTAGCAATGCATGTACTGAAATTGGTGTAATACAGAGATTAGCATGGCTCCTGTGCATGGATAACACACAAATTTGTGAAGCATTCCATATTTTTAATCCACTAACATGATTCAAGATAAAATGGCCATATTAAGAATCAAACTGATATGATAGAGCTGAAAAATCCACTACAAGAATTTCAAAACACAATCAGAAGTATTAATAGCATAATAGACCAAGCTGAGAAAAGAATCTTATAGCTCAAAGGCCAGTTTTTCAAATTAATTCAGTCAGGCAAAAATAATGAAAAAAATTAAAAAGAATAAACAAACCTCTGAGAAATATGATACTATGTAATGAGGGTAAACCTATGATTCGTTGGCATCCCTGATGGAGAAGGAAAGAGAGTAAGCAACTTGAAAAACATATTTGAGGATATTGTCCATGAAAATTTCCCCAACCTTGTAGAGAGATTGACATTTGAATTTAGGAAATTCAGAGAACCTGTGCAAGATACTATACAAGAGGACCGTCCTCAAGACACAGAAACATCAGATTCTCTAAAGTCATTAAAAAGAAAAAAATTAAAGACCACTAGAGAAAAGGGGCAGGTCATCTACACAGATAACTTCATCAAGCTAACAGCAGAACTTTCAGCAGAAACCCTACAATCCAGAAGAGACTGGGGACCTACATTCAGTATCCTTAAGAAAAGAAATTCCAACCAAGAATTTTATATCCAGCCAAACTAAGCTTCATAAGTGAAGGAGAAATAAAATCTTTGTCAGACAAGCAAATGATAAAGGAATTTGTTACCACCAAACCTGCCTTGCAAGAAGTTCCTAAGGGAGTGCTAAACATGGAAATGAAAAGTCACTACTAGCCACCATAAAAACACATTTAAGTTCATAGAACATTGACACCGTTAAGAAACTCCACAATTAAGCCTACATAACAACCAGCTAACAACACAATGATGAGGTCAAATCCATACACATTAATATTAATGAGCTATATGCTATATGCTTGAACATTAATGAGCTATATGCTCACTTGAAATGCTCAGAGTGGCAAGTTGCATAAAGAAGCAAGACCAAGTATATGCTATCTTCAAGTGACCCACCTCACACACAATGTCACCTGTAGGCTCAAAGTAAAGAGATGGAGAAAGATCTATCAAGCAAATTAAAACCAAAAAGGAGCAAGGGTTGCTATTCTTATTTCAGACTGAACAGATTTTAAATAAACAATAATCAAAAAGAACAAAAAAGATAAACATTTCAATTACATAATGATAATTACATAATGATAAACATTTCAATTCAACAAGAAGACTTAACTGTCCTAAATATATAAGCACCCAACACTGGTGCATCCAGATTTATCAAACAAATTCATAGACAACTACAAAAAAAACTTAGATAACCACACAATAATAGTGGGAGACTTCAACATCTCACTGACAGTATTAGAAATATCATCAAGGCACAAAACTGACAAAGATATTTGGGGACCTAAACTAAACACTTGATGAAATAGACCTAACAGATATATCTATATCTATCTATCTATCTATATCTATCTAGCTATCTATCTATCTATCTATCTATCTATCTATCTATCTATAGAACGCTTCACCCATCAACCACAGAAAATACATTCCTCTTATCTGCACATGCCACATACTCTAAAATTGACCACATGCTCAGCTATAAAAATTTTTCAAGAAATTACAAAAGAAACTCAAAGTTATACCATCCAGACTCTTGACCACAGTATAATGAAAAATAAAAAGCAATATCAAGATGATCTCTCAAAATCACACAATTACATAAAAATGAAACAAGCTCTTCTGAAATGACTTTTGGGAAAACAGTGAAATTGAAGCAGAAATCAAGAAATTCTTTGAAATTAATATAAACGTAGATACAACATAACAGAATCTCTGGGACACAGCTAAAGCCATGTGAAGAGGAAATTTATAGCACTCAAAGTGCACATCACAAAGTTAGATTTGTTAATTTCAAATTAACAAGCTAACATCACACCTAGAGGAACTAGAAAGACAAGAGCAAACCCACCCCAAAGATAGCAGAAGAGAAAAAATGACCAAAATTAGAGCTGAACTGAATGAAATTGAGATGAAAAAAAATAAAAGATCAACAAAACCATAAATTTGTTTTTTGAAAGCATAAATAAGATTGATAGATCATTAACTAGACTAACAAATGAAAAGAGAGAAGAACCAAATAAACACAATCTAAAATGACAAAGTAGGCATTACCACTGAACCCACAGAAATACGAAAACATTCCAGGACTAGTATGAACACCTTTACGCACACCAATGAGAAAAACACAGAATAACAAATGGATAATTTGCTGGAAACACACAACTTCCCAAAATTGAACCAGGAAGTAACTGAATCCCTGAATAGACCAATAACTTGTTTTGAAATTGAACTCATAACAAAAAACTGTCAACCAGAAAAACCCCTGAACCAGAAAAAGTCACAGCTGAATTCTGCCACACATATAAAGGAGAGATGGTACCAATCCTACTGAAACTTTTCCAAAAAATCTAGGAGAGACTCCTCCCTAAACTAAATCTAAGGCCAGCGTCAATCTGACACAAAATCCAGGCAGACACACAACAAGAAAAGTAAACTTCAGACTAGTATTCCTGATGAACATAGATGTAAAAATCTTCAACAAAATACTAGCAAACCAAATCCAGCAACACATCAAAAAGCTAATCTACCACAATCAAGTAGACTTTATTCCTGTGATGCAAGGATTTTTCAACATACACAAATTAATGAATGTAATTTGTTACATAAACAAAACCATACGATCATCTCAACATACACAGAAAAAGGTTTTGATAAAATTCAACATCCCCTCATTTTAAAAACTCTCAACAACCTTGGTACCCAAGGGATATACCTCAAAATTATAAAAACCATCTATGACAAAACTATAGCCAACATAATACTGAATGAGTAAAAGCTGGAAGCATTTCCCTTGGGAACTGGAAAAAGACAAGGATGCCCACTCTCACCACTCGTATTCAACATAGTACTGTGAGTCCTAGTCAGAGCAATCAGGCAAGAGAAGGAAATAAAAGGCATCCAAATAGGAAGATAGAAAGTCAAACTATTTCTCTTTGCAGACAGTTTGAATCTGTACCTAGAAAATTCCATCATCTGTGCCCAAAGGCTCCTAGATCTGATAAAAAATCTTTAGTAAAGTTTCAGGATACAAAAGCAATGCACAAGAATGAGTAGCATTTCAATAGCCATGAAAAGAATAAAATAATTGGGAATAGAGCTAACCATGAAGGTGAAAGATCTCTACAAGAATTACAATGCACTGCTAAATGAAATCAGAGATGACACAAACAAATGGAAAAGTATTCCATCCTTCTGGATAGAAAGAATCAATATTGTTAAAATGACCATACTACCCAAACAATGTACAGATTTAATACTATTTTTATCGAACTACCAACGACATTAATTTTTTAAAAATTTCAATAGCTGTTGGGGTACAGGTGGAATTTGATTACTTGAGTGAATTGTATAGTGGTGAAGTCTGAGATTTTAGTGTACCCATCACCCAAGTAGTATACATTGTACCTAATATGTAGTTTTTTATCCTTCACCCCTCCCCCACCCTCCTCCTTCTGAGTCTGCATCCAAGTTGCTGCAAAAAAATTTCATTCTTTCTTACGGCTGAGTAGTATTATATGGTGTATATATACCATATTTTCTTTATCCATTCATTGGCCAATGGCTTTTCTTCAGACAATTAGGAAAAAGTATTCTAAAATTCATATGGGACCAAAAAGACTCCAAATAACCAAAGCAATCTTAAGCAAAAAGAACAAAGCTGGCGGCATCACACTATTTGACATCAAACTATAATATAAGGCTGCAGTAATTAGAACAGCATAGTGCTGGTACAAAAATAGCCACATAGACCAATTGAACAGATTAGAGAACCCTGAAATAAAGCCAAGCACTTACAGCCATATGATTATTGATGAAGCTGATAATAAGGAATGGTGAAAGGACTTCCTTTTCAATAAATGATGCTGTAATAACAGGCTAGCTACATACAGAAGAATAAAACTGGACAACATTCTTTCACCATATACAAAAAACAACTAAAGATGGATTGAAGATTTAAATGTAAAACCTAAAACTATAAAAACCCTAGAAGAAAATCTAGGAAATAGGATTCTGGATATTGGACCTGGCAAAGATTTCATGACAAGGACTCCTGAAGCAACTACAACAAAAACAAAAATTGATACCAAGGACCAAATAAAACTAAAGAGCTTTGGCAAGACAAGAGAAACTATCAAGAAACTAAACAGAATACCTACAAATGGGAGAAAACATTTGCGAACTATGTATCTGACAATGGTCTAATATCCAGAATATATAAGGAACTTAAATATACCAACAAGCAAAAAACATATAACCCCATTAAAAAATGAGCAAAGGACACGAACAGACAATTCTCAATAAAAGACATACATGTGATCAATAAGCATATGGAAAATGCTTACCATCATTAAACATTAGAGAAATGCAAATCAAAACCACAATAAGACACCCTCTCACACCAGTCAGAATGACTAGTATTAAAAAGATAAAAAATAACAGATGTTGGTGAGGTTACAGAGAAAAAGGAACAGTTATGCACTGCTGGTGGGAATGTAAATTATTTCAGCCACTGTGGAAAGCAGTTTGGAGATTTCTGAAATAACTTAAAACATAACTACCATTCAACCCAATTCCATTACTGAGCATATACCTAAAGGAATACAAATCATTCTGTCATAAAGATACATGCATACATGTATTTGTCACAGCCCTATTCACAATAACAAAGATGTGCTATCCTCCTAAGTGCCCATTGATGGTGGACTGGATAAAGAAAATGTGGTCTATAGACAACATGGAATAATATGCTAGCACAGAAAGATCAAAATCATGTCCTTTGCAACAATATAGATGGATTGGAGGCCATTATCCTAAACAAATTAAGACAGAAACAGAAAAACAAGTGGACAGAAAGAAGGGAACAATAAACACCAGGGCCTACTTGAGAATGGAGGTGAGAGGAGGGTAAAGATCAAAAAATGATCTATCAGATACTATGCTCAATAGCTGGGTAACAATATAATCTGTACAGTAAACACCCACAATGTACAGTTTACTCACGTAAGTAATCTGCACATGTACTTCCTAAACCTAAAATAAAAGTTGTAAAGGAAGAAAACCACCAATAATCTTGAAAATACATATGTGATCATAAAGATAAAAATTAGATACTGGCATTGCTCATGTAAAAAATGTCTTGAAGTATCATATTTATTATATCATATTTCTTGAAGTATCATTATCATATTAAATGCTGAAAATACATGTACTGTATGCATTTACGTAAATATTATTATTGCATAAATTCATTACGCATATATGTTGTCTGTTTTCCTCATAATAAATTTTTCATAGGAAATGTTTCTGAATATATTTAAATTTAAAGGGGCAATCTTGTATTATATTTATTATGAAAATAAGCAAATAAATATACCTTTGGAATAGATTTGGAAGAAAAGTAAAAGTAGGCCATTGTATAATAGTTATTAACATTTTATAGAAAGAAGAAAAGAAAAACATTAAGTCTTTAAATAATTTCCAAATTTGGCTCTCCCTCAGAATTAACATGGATGCCTTTTAGAAGAAACAAACTCTTCACTCTAACCTTATTGAATTAGATTTTCAAGAAGTAGAGCTTTGAATTTTTTAAAGTTTTTTTCTTAGTATTTCATACCTCGGTATCTAGAGTATCATCAATCCATCTGTGTCTGGGTTTCTACATCCTATCTCAAGGATGATGTGTACAACAGCATCCTCTTCTGCAACTTGGGCAACTACTCATATCTACCAAGCTATTTTGCAGCAATCTGTGGTTTCAATTATTCAATACCTGGGTGTTTTTAGAAAAGTAATCAGAACAGGATTGTGATATACAATATATCTTTATTTTAAATCAAATTAAATTTCAAGATTTTTAAGAGCATCACAGCAGTATTTTAAATTTCTTAATTGGCATATGTATATAAATTCTGCTGGAAATATGCTTTCTAAGCAAATAAATGCTAAGGAAGATACATTCCAGGAGTAGGGATGATAATATAAAGAAAATGAATTAAGAGCTATTAGATCTTAAACAATTCTTACTGAATTAACTCATTGTTTAATTCAAAACATATATACATGAAAAAACAAAAAGTACCTCAGATGGTTTTGCCGTTTATCATCCTCTTTTTATTTTGAATCTCCTTTGTGTAGTTTTAGAATGAGTATTGGCAGACTAAGGTGCAGAGAATTATTTAGAACTCCTTGTTCAGATATTGAATCTTCCATGTCAGCTAAACAATCCTTTCCTGTTCTGAAAATTTAAAAAAAATAAGATAATGAAAACCTGCATTTTTCAAGACCAATGTTTAAGGAGAAACCAAATTTCCACTATTAGTTTTCAGAGCATCAAGTGAAGCTTGTAATCTCTTAAAGAAATGTAATCAACAGTTTAAAATTATAAAAAATGATATTATAATCACTCAAAATTCTTTTTTTATGGTTTGATAGTTTATTATTGTCTTTTTTTTATTATACGTTAAGTTCTAGGGTACATGTGCACAACGTGCAGGTTTGATACATAGGTATACACATGCCATGTTGGTTTGCTGCACCCATCAACTCATCATTTACATTAGGTATTTCTCCTAATGCTATCCCTCCCCAGCACCCCCACCCACCGACAGGCCCTGGTGTGTGATGTTCCCCACCCTGTGTCCAGGTGTTCTCATTGTTCAATTCCAACTATGAGTGAGAACATGCAGTGTTTGGTTTTCTGTCTTTGAATCACTCAAAATTCTTAACATAAGGTCCATTAGTAGAAAGGAATATCATCTTAATCATACCAATAGGACAAGGCCAATCAACTCCTCCTATACATCAATATATAATAAATGATCTAATAATTTGGCAGAAACATTTCAGCATTTCCATAGTAAAGAACTGTAATTCTTATCAATGGCTAATCATCAATATAATTTAGTTAAGAAAATAGCACTAGCAAATCTGGGTCCAAATAAACGTCAATTCAATTAATATAAGAACAGAAAAGGATCTATGTGTAGAGTACATTTCTTTCTTAATTGTGTAGTCATTACTAATTAATATAGGCATTATTAGTTAGAAACATGAACTGTATCATTGATAGCAATTACAAATGGATAAGTTGAGTGAGAAATGTCTGAAAAGGAAATCCAGATATAATAGATAAGTTACTGGATTTACAGCATGAAAGGGGTAGGGATGTAGCGCCAAGTTTAGGATTATGGTCTACAATGCTCCTTCCTAGAAATATATTCTGTTCTTTCATATAAGAAACATGTTCATACACATTCTTCATGTGATTTTACCATTTATGAACTAATAATCTGTTGTTAATATATTACTGTTTATTAGCAATAATAACAATAATAGCAATAATAACAACATTCATAACTTGTGGCCTTGATCTAAGAATCCTGGTTTCTAAGATATGTAAATGAATGGTTCAAATACAGCTTGTGACTTTTTTATGCCTAGCAACATTCTGCCTACCAGACATAGCTGGTGCTCCACCAGTTTGTATAAGCAGTGACATTGGAAAGTAGAATATTTGGCCCATAAAATAACTTGTTAATATTCACAGACGTTTGGTGATCATTCTCTGAAAATTTTTAAAAATAACATTTTAATACAACTTTTATTCCATGGGACACAACATCTGCAAGCACTAACTCATCATATTGACACATTATACTGTCCTAGAATTGTAATGAAGATGTACTTGATGACAGGTACCAAATAATCGATTATTGACATCTTTTGCCATTGAATTAATTTATCTTGAAACAGATCATTTATTAATGAAATAAGAAAAAAATATATTATTTGGATTTTCTTCCTTAATTCTAGTAACCACCCAAAGCTGACAAGCTGAATATTGCTTTTTCTAATAGTATGTGGCTTCGTATATTTTATGATCATTTGTGCTACTGTTAGAAAACGATGGTCTCTTTTCCTTCTTTAATAAAATTTTTTAGCATTAAAATGACAACACAGTATAGAGTTTTTAGAATTTTTCCTACTATCTCGGAAGTATATTATATTTTGCCAATTTTATCAGCATGCTTCATTGTAAAATAGTTAATTAAATGTAACATTTCCTTTCTTCATTAGAACAAAAATAATGTTGGCAGATTAGACACATTGATGACTGTTATTTGTGGAAAATACTTAAAATCCAGTTTGAAATATATAACTGAATAATGTTGATGTATATTATTTGTAGTTAAAATAAGAAATATGTAGCAAATAAGAGATAATTATTTTAGAATATTAATAGTCTTTTATAAACACAGATTGACACAAGTATACTATATCGGCATCTAAAAGCTGTCAAATAGTTTTGCCATGAGTGGTATGATTTCTAATATGTTCAACTACTCTTAGTAAATTTGGAACCAACTAGAGTACAATAACTTCTCATTTTGCTTGTTAGGTTTATTTCTAGAACATTCAATGTCATTAAAGCCAGGGGAAAAAAGTATTTTTGTGTGAATTTACATCTTAAAAGATAACTTTTAAATGAATTTTTTTAATGTATATATATATCTCTCTCTCAAGGCATTTGGAAGATAAGTGGTATGTAAAACCATTGCTTCCTGTTAAAAGTTGTGCTACACATAGCAGAATGCCTTGTTTCTGTAGCACTAACCAATTAAATGCCATTATCACCATCTTATCATTGAAACAAAAAAGGCTCCCAAATTTACATAATGTCCCTTAGGAATTGCACTGCCCCAGTGAGAGTCAGGACCTTGAACCTTTGGCCTCTTAATCGATCCTGTGTGCTGCCTGAAGCACCATATTGATCGTATCACCACTCTGCTTAATATACATAAGATAAACTGCAAATTCCAATATCCTGCATCATCTTGCTCCAAACCCAACTCAGAATTTGTCTCTGTCAAGATACATTATCTTAATGCTTCCATTCATGAAGAACTCTTAAATGTTTGAACCCATACTTTTTCTTGTATGTAGCATTTATACTGTTCTACACTTTACTTCTGGTATGTGTATCTCTGCTTTTATTTTTACATTATGTGGATTTGATATAGATGAATTGTTAGTTATAATTGGTGTGTTCAGAAATTTTAGTCACTAGAAATAAATAACATAAATCTATTCTATGCTATAAATATTATTCATATACTTACCTCCAAAAATAGAATAATATTAAGGTGTTAAGAAAACATTCTCTCATTAAAATCTTTTAGGAATACAGTTCATCTTAAAGTTCAAATAACAAGATGAAAAATATAAAAAATCCTTTTCAGATATTCAATTGCGCTTGATTATTGGCAATTTAATAAATAAATTTGCTTTGTTCTCAAATAAGTTTTAATTAGAGAGTCATATTCTCGCTGAACTCTTAAATTTTTCACTGCATTTCTCCTGCTTCAAAAGTGACAAGAAAGGGATTTATGGCCAATAAGAAAAAAACAAAGCATTTCAGATTGAGGCTGACCCTGTATGTTTGCAGCTGAATCAAAATGATCTATAACTTTCAATGGGGCCAATTTGCTACAAAGAGTCTGCAAGATTCTTTAAGTGACAAAGAAGCTGGAAGTCACAGTCCAGCTATTGAGGGCATAACGTGCGTAAGTCACAGTAAATTGAATCCATAAAAACATTTATTTTTAAAGTGATCTACCATGGAAATGTGGACTCAGCTAAAGAGACTTGTTAAATTTGCTCAATCCCAGAGGCTTTAATATTAAAGGAAAATGTGTTCTTCATGCTATATATAAGTCTTTGGACTAACAACAAAAATATACCTAGCTTTATATTTATTAAGGAAAAATATAAATGAATAAGGAATTGGGGAACTGAGAGAAATGTTAATGGCTACAAAAGGGGAAAAATTGTACTTAGCAAGTTGCAGAGAAAATAAGGAAAACCATATTTTTACAACTGGAGAGTAAATAAGTCAAGAAAACAGGTTATTCCCTTCCAGGATAATTACCAATTGGGAAAACTGGGCCTAGCAAAGAATGACTTGGGATTATACAAAGATACACAAAACTAAACTTTTGATTCATCTCTGCCACTTGTTAGCTAAGTGACCTTGTTCAAATTATTTAATTTTTGTGAGACTTAGTTTCACCTCATTTCTTCTTAGTTTCTTTATTTGAAAATGTTATTGGTCTTTAACATAATCTGCCTATTATTAGAAATTTAAAGCCAATTTTTAGTCTATATTAACACAAAGTTTCATGCTTGGATTGCTTTGATAACTATTCTTCCTTTAATAAGGCTGGGCATGGTGGCTTATGCCTGTAATCCCAGCACTTTGGGAGGCCGAGGAGGGCAGATCAGGAGGTCAAGGGATTGAGACCATCCTGGCCAACATGGTGAAACCCTGTCTCTACTAAAAATACAAAAATTAGCTGGGCATGGTGGGGCGCACCTGTAGTCCCAGCTACTCGGGAAGCTGAAGCAGGAGAATCGCTTGAACCCGTGACAGGGAGGTTGCAGTGAGCCGAGATCGTGCCACTACACTCCAGCCTGGCGACAGAGTGAGACTCCGTCTCAAATAAATAAATAAATAAATAAAATCCTTTCACTGAAAGTATCTTTGTATATCACATGCCTTGGTTTGCCACTTAAGACCGTGTACATCTGACACACAATTTTGTTTTATTTTTTCTTCAACTTTTATTTTAAGTTGTGGGGTACACGTGCAGGATGTGAAGGTTTGTTACACAGGTAAATGTGTGCCATGGTGGTTCATCGCACAGATCATCCCATCACCTTGGTATTAAGCGCAGCATCCATTAGCTATTCTTTCTGATGCTCTCCCTTCTGCTACCCCTCCTCAGACAGGCCCCAGTGTGTGTTGTTCCCCACCATGTGTCCATGTGTTCTCATCATTCAGCTCCCACTTACAAGTGAGAACAGCGGTGACACACTGTTTTAAAGAGTAATATGATTTATTTCATTTGCACCTGTGCATGGCATTTTGGCTGAATTATTTACTAAGGATCCCCAGATAGTCCTAATGACTTTTTCAGGTTTTCTTACACACTTGGTATAGTGGAAAGCTCATTTACACACTAAGGCACTTGTGCCATGTTCATCTTGGGATCACAGGGAAAGCAAACCACAACCATAAGTCTAGATTTGAAGTCACCCTAGTCCCTCCCGCAAATTACATAGAGTGTTGAGAGTCCAAGATACTCTGCAGTCAGCCCATGCTAACTGCCGTAAAAAGCACATATGTGACTACATTATATAAATTCATATTAAAACTATTTTTGCCTGAATAAAGGATATAACCTTCTCTATAAAGTAGTATAAGTAATTGTTACCTATATAACTGTAACCAATGGTATTTTTTTCTGTTCATCATAAACAAACCCAAATTTTGTATATGCATATATATGTGAGGGTATGTTTGTATATATGTATGTGTGTATATATATGCATATACATATATAATTTTCTAGTGTTAATTACATATTAATATATATTTCAGGTGAAAGTAAAAATATCAAAAAGAAATACTGAGGAACTATAACTTCAGCAATAATATTTGTATTGTGCTGATATAAGCCTTCCATCAAAAAACCCTATAAAATTTAATAAAATATATGACATATATTTTTAGGCCTTCAAAAAAGTATATTCAACACTGCAAGTCCTAAAAGAAGAAAAGCTTATGATTTTCCTACTGATTTCAGTAGTTCTCTACTTGGGGATAATTTCCCAATTATGACTCATTGAGTTGAAATCCAACAGATCATGGCATCCCCTCTAAGATGCCAAAGAACAAAAGAACAACAACAACAACAACAACAAAAAAAAAACCAGAGAACAGAAACCTGAAGAGATAACAAAGAAAGGCCTGGGATGGAGTTTCATATTGGAGTCCATATGGGACTAGCTGGGAGTCCATGTCTAAGAGCTGAGCTGCTTGTCATCAGGTTGTGATTACCTGAGACTTACCAGAGAGCTGTTTCGACAAGGTTCAGAACAGAACACAGAGACTTGAAATTAAACAGCACTGATGCAATTTGGAGATTTGGCCTCAATTAAGTCGAGAAATGTTATTAATGCCTTATTAACGCTTGAACATCCAGCTAAGGTACCACAAAAGCCATAGAAGTAAAGACCTACCTAGACTAAGGTTTATTCAAGACCTGTTGAAACAAAGCCTACAACCAAACTCTGACAAGTTCTGCATGAGAGTATAGCCCTGAAGTTGTGTTTCAAGAAGCAGCCAAGAAAGACATGACCACTATAAGAATGCTGTATCATAGGTGGGATCCTGGAGTGGAAAAAGGTTAGAAACAAACAAAGAAAATCTGAATAAACTGTGGACTTTTAAATTAAAAATAATGTATCAATATTGGCTCATTAATTGTGACAACTGTGCCCTAATAATGAATGTAAGTTGACAACAATAGAAGGAACTGGTTGTGCAATACACAGGCACTCTTCACTATTTTCACAAGTTCTCTGTAAATCTGAAATTATTCTAAATTTTTAAGCACTATGTAATACCACCTATATAATGCACAACCTATATAATGGTTAAAATCACTGCAAATGCCATTTGGCAGGACAGGAGATTGAGGCTCAAAATACATTGGGGGACCTTTCAAAGGACACAGAGCTAATAAATAAGTAAGTATTGGAGCCGATGGTAGGCCGACAATGTGGGACCTGAGTGCTTTTCACTCTGCAGCCTGATTCTGCAAATTTGTAGAAACTAAGTCCAGGAAATGACAATCAAAGATGAACTGCCGCAGGCAGCAAGTATAAAATGCTGGTATTCCACTTATGAACAGGATTTAATAATCCTTCCTTACTCCTAGTTTTCAGTGTTTAATAAAATTGCTATGACTTTCTTCAAACATTTGCTTTCTTGATCAAGAAAGAAACCTTTTCTATTGGAAGTAGTCCAATTACTATTAATTCATTTTCTAAAAAAGCAAGAGGAATGAAACTATTCAAGAGCATTTACAGAACAATAGGAAAGATGAAGATTACTCTAAAGTCAGTTTCTTAGACTCTAAACTTAATATATGTGTTTTCTGTCTATAAAATGAGTTTTACTCATTGGGATGCTCGCCTGTATAGACTGACTCTTGGGAGAAGACTGTGTAAACTTTTATCTCTCTTTTTTTTTTCAGGTTCTGTAATGTATTTGCCTGAGGCAAATTACACATATCCACTTTTATCCCAGTAAAGCCAAACAACATCTTAAAAAGTTAAACGCAAATATTCCTCCAAAGAATGTTAAACCAATGTAGAATCCCTGAGTTTATTTTTATTATAGCTGTGGATCTCATGAACCTTTTAATTATGTCTTCTGGATTGCTAAGAATATGCAGTCCTGTGATGTTTAGTAATGCAATATAAGAAAATGTTATGTACACAGTATAATGTTGTGTCCCAAATCCTTAGGGCTTTTTTCCTCTGCATTTTTCTCGGTATAGTTTTCTGCTATTGTTAAATTAGTCATCTCTCTTTTTGATGTTTATATACATCCCTTCCCTTTTTTGTACCTTAACCAATGTGGAGCAAACCCATGCTCCCTATGAGTAACCCAAACACATCTTATACAAGTCAGCTATCCGTAGTAGAAATTGGTTAAAGAAAGTAGATTTTTGATTATTTTTGCTCTCCCAGCCTTTCACACACCCCCTTCTCTTTTGGGAGAAATAATATTCAGATGTTACCCCTTCAGTTTTCAGGCAGTATCCTTCAGTGAAGCTCACTCCAGCACAAGATCCCAAGGACAGTCACGTGGGCTCATCTATGCCAAGCTTAACATTCCATCTCTGATTGCCTGATCCATGTCAGACTAATCAAATCAGAGGTAACAGAGCTGAAAGGCAGATCTTGGAGGGACTACTTGAGGCCTAAATTAAGCTATATCTGGGAAGAAAGCTCAAGATCTTGATTTTTCAGTTTATATGACCTAATAAATTTTTTTTGGCTGAAGCCACTTTGGATGGAAGTTGTAACATTTGCAATTAGAAAATTACTATCAGATACAATGTAGGCAAAGGGGAAAGGAATACAGGGAACTGATTAACATGGAATAGATAGCCCTACTTATAAAACATCATCACCACTGTGAAAATCTCAGAACTTACCTTCTACCTTCTTTCTGGCTTCTCACCATATTTCTGGCTCTTTATTCTATCACATTTCATCATGTTCTACCCTCTCTCCAGGAATCCCTCTCTGTCTTCATTCTGTAATTGACTAGTACAACTACACATTGGGCTTCGTTTATTATGCAGATAAACTACAATTTTTTCAGAATTGGTCAGTTAATTTTTAATTTTTTAAATTTTAGTATACATGCTCATGGTATAAAATTAGAAAGGCACCAAAAGCTACACAACTGAAAGAACATTTTCCTATCACTACTGTCTCCCACATATCCAATTTTCCTCCCTGGAGCTATACATTGCTACCAATTTATGAGAAGAAATTCAAGAAAATTTTTGAAATATTCTATTGGTTTTTAAAGAGACTTAATAGATTACACTTTTACAGAGAATTTTGAAGAATAATAATTGCTTTATTTATTATTATATCATTATGCAAGGAATATAGATGATAATTAGATATATAATTTTATCCTTCTTAGAGAATTACATAGTAATTGCCTTTTCTGTTTGTGCGCAAATTTATTTCTTAAAAGGGATGAATAAGTGTGCATGACTAAAATAAAATAGAAATAATGACTCTATATCCCTCAGTTATTTTATGTGTTATTATAAAGTTTATATCAAAGGGATAAAATAAGAATATTTGTATAGTAAATAGTATTAAACATATTTTGAAATATGCAGATAAAATGTCCACTTAAAGCTAATTAATTGTCAACAGATCAATATCCCATTTTTCTTTTTATAATTGTATATCATAAAATTAAACACTAATTAGTCACTATCTCATTAAAATTTTTCAACCATGATTTCAAAATTAAACCAATGGTAAAATAGTACCTCATATATCAAAAAAAGTGGACTGCCACTGAAATGTTATAGTATCGTATTTACTTTCATTAGATTTCTGTTATTGGAGATCAGCATTACCCTGGTTCAGTTGTCTCCCTCCAGGCTCTATACACATCGAAGAGGCACATATTCACATATAATCATTGTAGAATCTAATTATTTTGCCCTGATTCTCATGTAGTTCTTTCCACTACTTTTGATTATCTGTGAAACACATGAAAATAGAATCAAATTTGTTTTTTATAATAAGTTACCAACATTATTAAGCTAGGCCAGTCAGTTTTACCTTTTCATTATTTTGTAGCATAAAGTTGTTTGAAGGAATATACATATTCTGACTCTAATTTAGAGGCTGTACATTCTAAATCCTGGAAACTAGAAAAATTTCTAGTTATCACTGTGCCTGAATTTATAACACTTTGAAAACCATTTATCCATACTTGGAAGTATGAAGTTACCTCCAGGGCTTGAAAACCCCCCCAGTTTGTCTGGATTCTTTTTTCTCCTTATACATGATGAAGAGAGACATTTTGGCAACGCTGAGTTAGATTTCCTGATTGTCATTTAGCTATACTTCTTTGCATTGTAATTCCAGTGATTGCTTCAAGGGATTACTGTGAATTAATTTAACGTACAACAATCTAATTAAACATTGTATTTTTAAATGAAATATAGGAATCTTGAAACACTATAGTTTCATTTATTTCCTCATCCTTTGCACTATTCTTTTTGTATATATTCCTTCTACATACATTAAAAACCACTACCATGTTTTTATGAAAAATTAGTTCATGTATACATGTGTTTTTAGAGAAATTAAGAGCAGAAAGGAAAGATTATATAGTCTTTTGTATTTACACATATACTTACCAGTTTTGTTCATTCATTGCTTCTTGTGGATATGCATTAAAATATGGTTTCAGTTCCCCTCAGATTAAGCAAATCCCTTTGGCCTTTGGCCAACACAGGTCTGCTACTGATAAATTTTGTTTTTTTTTAATATGAAAACTTCTTTATCTTATCTTGAATTATGAAAGACAGCTTTTCAATCACAGGGCTGAAATTGTTAAAAATCAAATGACTAAGACGATCTGAATTACAACACAAGAGGAACTTCCAGTCTCATAAAGTGTTTCTTGTTAAAGTGAGGTCATTGATTGGGAGTGAATGGGATCCTATAAATTGGGGTAAAGACACAAGAGAAGACCCCAGTGAAGCTGTGGACATTGAACACCTAAGTATAATGAGTCTTCTTTGCCAGTAGAAGAGGTATCCCTACCCCAACTGAAAGCGACCTCCTCATTTACCGGAGCTATTGGCCTCTCCAATCCCAACAGAAGTGGCTTCCATATCCCCAGTGAGTGATAGCTCCTTCCCACCCACTGCAGTATCAGCCTTTCCATCTCAGCGTGAAGAGATTAACCCTACATTGACAGAGGAAACTATCATGGCCTCCTGGAGGCACTTACCATGCAAGACAGGTGATTCTCTTCAGGACTCACACCCACCCACCACCCCTCTTTGCTTCTAGACCTATAACTTTACTCAACTCCCAGCAGACCTATAAAGACAAGGTACAATATGTGACCCATTGGGAAGTGAATTACACTAAAAATAACCACTTGATGTTTTTAATTTATGCACACAAAAACCAGAGGACATATGTAGAAATGGATGCTGAAGGTAAGGAATAGTGGTGGAAGAAATGCGAAGTTGGATCAGGATGAATTTATTGGCATGGGCTCACTAAGTGGAGAATCTGTGTTCAGTGTTGCAGTTCAGGGAGTCAGAAAGAGTTCTAACCATTTGTTTAGTTGATTAGGTGAAACATGGACTAAAATGTGGCCTACAGTGAGTAAATTGGAAACGCTGGATTTGTAGAGTCAAAGCAGCAATCTGAATAGTCTGACTTACACAGGCTTATGGTGTTGGCTGTTTGGTCATGGTTGTTCCTAGAAGTGAAATAGATAAGAAGTGTGCTAAATTCTTACTTTATCTGTATGAGCAGAAAAGCTCTAGGTCAAGTGCACAAAAATCTGACCTAAATCATTGAAACAGAGTGTCTTAGTCCCTTTATGCTGCTATGACAGAATACCACAAACTGGGTAATTTATAAAAAACAGAAATTGATTTCTCACAGTTCTGGAGGCGGACAAATCTAAGATAAAGGCACCAAAGAAATTGGTGTCTGTTGAGGGCCTGATCTCGACTTCCAAGATTACACCTTGTTGTTGTGTCCTCTGGAGGGAACAAATGCTGTGTCCTTACGAGATGGAGAGTGGAAGAGCAAGAGAGTGCTCCCTGCAATCTTGAGCCTTTTTATAAAGCACTAATTCATTCAGTGAGGGAGGAGCCCTCATGACTTAATCACTTCCCAAAGGCCCTATCTCTTAATACCACCACAATGGGGATTAAGTTTGAACACATTCATTTTAGGAAGCCCATTCCGATCACAACATAGGGTCATGGCTCCTCAATGTATTCCAAGACTTGAGCCAGTTTACCCCCAAATCCCTGGTATAAAGGGGAGTTCAGCACCACTTGGGAGGGTCCCCAGTACATTACCAAAAAATGTATACTACTATTTCTCTCAACCTTCCTTAAAGGAACATATTGCCTTTTCCCAGGTAACTGTATATTGGGGGAAAAAAAAGAAATAATTGGAACTTTTGGGGATATCTGGACATTGGCTCTTAATGGTCAGTAATTCCAGGACAACCAAAACAATACTTTGGCCCACCAATCAGAACAGGTCTTGTGGAGGTCAAGTGATTAATGGAGTTTTAGCTTGGGTACTTTTCACAGCAGGTCCAGTAGGTCCCCAAACTCATCTGTGGTTATTTCTCCAATTCAGGAATGCATAACTGGAATAAGCATACATACAGCTGGCATAATCCCCATACTGGTTACCTTGCAGAACAGTTCTCTGGATGGCATTGGACCTACCCAATCCTCCCTGCCTTTCTTGTTTACAGTTATCAAGAATGACTGTAGAATGTTCTGGGAGTGCAATATCCTGAGATAGAAAGGCAATGCTTGAAACAGCCCAGGCCTTGTTTCTGTCTCTTCTAGGGAATATAGTATACTAAGCTAGGGAGGAACTGCTTAGAAAAGCCCAGAATTTGTTCCTTTCTATCTTGGAAGCAGGATATCCTTCAAATTTTTAACCCAGTGTGTCATGTGGCTCCTTAGGTATATAACCCAGGATGGACTGCCTTTTTGGGAGCAAGTGTGGTACATGCAGGTGAGACTCCCCCTCACCAGTTTCTTGAGCCTTGGGGAAATAGCTCACAATAAATCCTAGGTTTCTTTTGTTCCTTGCTGCCTATCTGTAAGTAAAAAATCCACATTATGTAACTTGTTGTATATGAAGTGTTCTGTCTCACCAGACTCAGAAAAGTTTATAACCAGTGTGCAATAAATCTGTGTCACATTCCTGGCCTGTGGAGTGAAGATTATTATGCTAGGAAAGGCCAAGTTAAAGCCATTAGAACCACTTCTACTTAGAAAAATAGTAAATCAAAATGCAATATTTCATTTCTAGAAGAATTTCAGAAATTAGTGCCACTATCAAAGACTTGAAAAATGCAAGGTTGATGACTCCTAGCCCATTCCCCATTCAACTCTTCTATTTGGCCTATGCAGAAGACAGATGGCTCTTGGAGAATGATGGTGAATTAACATAAGCTTAATTGCATAGTGACTCCAATTGCAGTTGCCGTACCAGATGGGGTTTCATTGCTTGAGCAAATAAACACATCCCTTGCTGCTTGGTGTGCAGTCATTGGTGTAGCAAATGACTTTTTCTCCATACCTATTCATAAGGCCACCAGAAACAGTTTGCTTTAGCTGGCAAGGCCACAGTACACCTTCAGTGTCCTAGCTCATAATTTTATCAACTCTTCAGCCCTTTGCATTCATTTTGCTTACAGGATTCTTGATCACCTTCCCCTTTCATAACATGTCTCCCTGGTTCATTGCATTGATTATATTGTGCTGACTGGACCTAATGAACAAGAAGTAACAACTACTCTAGACTTATTAGTAAGACACTGGCATGTAACAGTGTAGGAAATAAATCTAACTAAAATTCAGAGGACTTCTGACTCAGTGAAATTTTCAGGACTGCAGTTGTGTGTGGCATATTGAGGTATTGCATCTATGGTGGAGGATAAGTTGTTGCACCTAGCTTCATCTACAACCAAGAAAGAGAAGTAAGGCATAGTGAGCCTCTTTGGATTTGAAGAGGAACATAATTCTCATTTGGGAGTGTTACTCCAGCCCATTTACCAAGTCACCCAAGAAGCTGCTAAATTTGAGTGGGGTCTAGAACAAGAAAGATGTCTTCAATAGGTTTGCGTTTCTATGCAACCTGCTCTGCCACTTTAGCCATATGATTCAGTAGATGCAATGGTGCATGAAGTGTCAGTTACAGACAGGGATTGGATAGGTGAATAAAAGTACGGGTTCTTATGATTTCGGAGCAAAGCCCTGTTATCCTCCACAGGTAACTATTCTCCCTTTGAGGAACATCTCTTGGCTTTCTAATGAACCTTAGTAGAGACTCATACTTATGGGCCACCAAGTTACTGTGTGACCTGAATTACTTATCATGAACTGGGTGTTACCTGACCCACCAAGCCATAGAATGGGACATGCACAGCTTGAACAGGCCCTAAAGTGGTACATGTAAGTTAAATGAATTCGTGGCCCAAATGTCCATAATTCTTACTCCCGCTACACTGCCTTTTCTCTCCCAGCCTACAACTTTAGCTTCATGAAGAGTCCCCAGCAATCAATTAACATAGGAAGAGAATATCAGGCCTGGTTTATAATTAGTTCTGCATAATACACAGGCACCACTCAAAAGTGGACACCTGGAGTACTGCAGCACCTTTATGGGACATTCCTGAAGTACAGATGTAAAGATAAATTTGCTCAATAGGCAGAACTTTCAGCAGTGCAGAGCTGGTTTTGCACTTCCTTGGAAGAAGAAATGGTCAGATGTGTGATTATATATCAAATTATGTGATGTAGTCAATGGTTTGGCAAGATGGTCAGGGACTTAAGAGGAACATGATTTAAAAAGTATTCACAAAGTCCTTTGAAAGAAGCAGCAGGCAGCAGCCTACATCATGAACCAGGTGGAAAACTTTCCACAAGAGAGAGTGAACTTATTCACACACCCAGAATACTACTACAACAATAAGCATCTGAGAAAGCCATCACACAAAGATTCTTTATAACCAAGGAACTCATACACAGCCTTCACCACTGAAAGCACTCAAAGCCAAATGTAGGTGACAATAAACTATAAACATTAAGGCCACATTCTCAAAGGGAAAAATAATTAAAAAGTAAAATCCAGTCAAATAAAAAAATAACTTCAAAAATAATTAGAAGAAATAGTCCACCCAAATGAAAAGGAACCAGGAAAGTAATTCTGGCAATATGAATGAAGTAGGATCCTACAAGACCCCTGAAAGATCACACTAACTCTCCAGCAGTGGATCCAAACCAAGATGAAATATTTAAAATGCCAGACAAAGAATTCAAAAGATTGATTATTAAGTTACTCAAGGAGATCCAAGAGAAAGATAAAAAGCATAAAGAAATTTTAAAAAATAAGTATACATATGAAAATTTTTCTAAAGAGATGGATATTTTAAAGAAAAACCTATCAGAACTTCTGGAAATTAAAGACACATTTAAGGAAGTACAAATTGCAGTGGAAAGTTTTAGCAATAGACTAGGCAAAGGAGAAGAAAGAATTTCAGAGCTCTAAGACAAGGCTTTCAAATTAACCCAATCAATCAGACAAAAATAAAAAATAAAGGAAATAAACATAGTGTTCAAGAAATATGGGATCATGTAAAATGGCCAAATCTAAGAATCATAGGTGTTTCTCTGGGAGAAGAAATAGCAAAAAGTTTGCAAAACCTATGAGGGAATAATTGAGGAAAACTTCCCTGGTCTTGCTAGAGATTTAGATATCCAAATTCAAGAAGCTAAATGCCTCCTGGGAGATTCATTGCAAAAAGGGCATCACCGAGACACACAGTCATCAGGCTATCTAAAGTCAATGTGAAGGAAAGAATTCTAGCAGTGAGACAAAAACATCAGGTAACCTATAAAGAAAAACCTGTCAGACTAACACCATACTTCTCAACAGAAATCTTACAAGTGAGAAGAGATTGGGATCCTATTTTTAGTCTCTTTAAAAAGAGTAACTGTAAACCAAGAATTTGGTATCTAGCAAAACTAAGTTTCATAAATGAAGGAGAAGTAAAGTCTTTCTCAAGCAAGCAAATACTGGTATTTGTCAATATTAGGCCAGCCCTACAAGAAATGCTAAAACGAACAAACAAACAAAAGCTTAAAACTGAAACAAAAGGTTGATAGGCACAGAATAGATACACCTGAAAGCATAAAATTCACAGGGCTTATAAAACAGTAACACAATGAAGAAAACAAAGTCACTAGATAACAGCATAATGACTGGAACAGTATCTCACATCTCAATATTAACATTGAATGTAACTGATAGAAATGCTTCTCTTAAAATATACAGGTTGGCAGAATGGATAAAAAATTACAAACCAAATATTTGTTATCTTCAGTAGATATGCCTAACATAGTCTTATAGATTCAAGGTAAAGTGGTAAAAAAAGATATTTCATTCAAATGGAAAGCAAATGTGAGCATGAGTAACTATTCTTACATTAGATAAACATACTTTAAAGCAACGACCTTAAAAAAATCACAGAAGGTTATTATATACTGATAAAAGGATCAATTCAACAAGAAGATATAACAATCCTAAATAGATATGCACCTAATCCTGAAGCTCCCAGATGTATAAAGCAATTACTACTAGACTTAGAACAGAGATAGACAATGACACAATAACAATGAGGAACCTGAGCACTCCACTGATGGCGCTAAACAGGTTATTGAGGCAGAAAATCAACAAAGAAACATTAGATTTAAACTGCACTCTGAAACAAATTGACCTAACAGATATTTATAGAACATTTTAACCAAGAAAAGCAGAATATACATTCTTATCATCAGCACCTGGAACATTCTCCAAGATAGACTATATAATAGTCCAGAAAACAAGTCTCAATAGATTTTTAAAAATCAGAATCATATCAAATATCTCCTTGGACTACTGTGGAATTAAAACAGAAATCAGCTACAAAAAGGAACCCTCAAAACTATACAAATACATGGAAATGAAGCAATCTGCTCCTGAATGATTTTTGGGTCAACAATGAAATCGAAATGAACATTTAAAATTCTTTTGAAAGGGGTAACAATGACACAAGTTATCGAAACCTTTGGGATACAGCAAAAGCAGTGCTAAGAGAAAAGTTTATAGGCACTAAACACCAAAAAGTCTGAAAGATCACAAATTAACAAACTGAGACCACAAATTGAGGAACTAGAGAAACAAGAGCAAATCAAACACAAAGCTAGAAGAAGGAAAGAAATAACAAAGATCAGAGCAGAACTGAATAAAATTGAAACAACAAAAACTGCAAAAGATCAGTGGAACAAGTTGGGTCTTTGAAAAGATAAAATTGATAAATCACTAGCTAGATTAACCAAGAAAAGAAAAAAGATTAAATAACCTTAATTAGAAATAAAAATGGAGGCATTACAACTGACACCACAAAAATACAGATTATTCAAGAGTACTATAAACACTTCTGTGCACACAAACTAGAAAATTTAGAAGAAATGGATAAAATTACTGGAAACACACAACCCTAGCTTGAATCAGGAAGCAATATACATCTGAAACAGACCAATAACAACTGGTGAAATTGAATCATGAATTTAAAAAATGGCCAACACAAAAAGCCCTGGGTTAGCTGGAGTCACAGTCAAATTCTTCCAGAGATTCAAGAGGAATTGGTACCAATCTACTGAAACTATTTCAACAAAGGCAGTATCACCCTGATACCAAATCCAGGAAAAGACGCAACAGGAAAAAAAAAAAAGAGAGAAAAAAGCTCATGAACATAGATGCAAAAATCACCACAAAATGCAAGGAAACCAAATCTAACAACTCAGAAAAAAAAATTAACCATACCTAATTGAATTTCATCCCAGGGATGAAGGGATAGTTCAACATATACAAGTCAATAAATGTGATACATCACATAAGCAGAATTAAAAACAAAAACAAGGCTGGGTGCAGTGGCTCACGCATGTAATCCCAACACTTTGGGAGGCAGAGGCGGGCGGATCACGAGGTCAGGAGATAGAGACCATCCTGGTTAACACAGTGAAACCCCTTCTCCACTAAAAATACAAAAAATTAGCTGGGCGTGGTGGTGGGCGCCTGTAGTCCCAGCTACATAAGAGGCTGAGGCAGGACAATGGCGTGAACCGGGAAGGCAGAGCTTGCAGTGAGCCAAGATGGCGCCACTGCACTCCAGTCTGGGCGACAGAGCGAGACTCCCTCTCAACAAAAAAAAAAGAAAAGAAAAAACACGTGACTGTCAGATTAAATGCAAAAGCATTTGACAAGATCAAACATCCCTTTATGATAAAAATTCTCAACAAACTAGGCATAGAAGAAACATACCTCAAAATGATAAAAGCCATATATGAAAAATGCACAAGCAACATAATGTGGAAAGGGGAAAAAATTAAAAACATTCCCCGTAAGAACTGGAATAAGACAAAGATGCCCACTTTCACCACTTCTATTCACCATGTTACTGGAAGTCCTAGCCAGAGCAAGCAAGCTAGAGAAAGAAATGAAGATATCTAAATTGGAAAATAGAAAGTCAAACTATTTCAGTTTGCCAATGATATGCTCTTATACTTAGAAAACCCTAACAACTCTTCCAAAAGACTCCTAGATATGACAAATAGATTCAATAAAGTCTCAGGTTACAAAATTAATGCACACAAATCAATAGCACTGCTATACACCAACAATGACCAAGTTATGAATCAGATCAAGAACTCATTTCCCTTTATA